>NC_000003.12:59100909-59403939 GCF_000001405.40 Homo sapiens | reverse complement strand
CCTTTAGTCCTCCCTGCCATGTGAGGGATTTATTAATATTATTTCCATGTGTGCATGAGGAACTGGAGCTTAGAGAGGCTGTGGACTTGTCCTCTTTCACAGCCCCACCATCTGGTTCTCCAGCTTGGGTTCTTGGTCCTATCAAGCTATGCTGCAAACAAATGAGAATGATTAGCTGTTCTCCCCACACTGCCTCTCTGCCAGGCATAAATAGATTCTTAATTAATATTTGCTGAATAAATGAATGTGTTAGTTATTAGGTAAGACAAGGAGATGAAGATGAAAACATATAAAATAGAAAAGAATAGGCTAATTCTGGTCAGAGAACTGTGTACAAGTTCCAGTAATTCCTTAATTCTCTTGTTCGTGGAGATTTAAGTAGCAATTGCTGAACATCCCCTTCTGTTTGGGGGATCAGAGGCCTGGTCCAGTTCATCTTTAGATTCCCCACAGGCCTCACATGGCACCAACTAGCTGCTCAACTAATTCCCTTAATTGAATTAATTTGAATTGAATGGAATTAAATTGAATCAGAACTTTTTTTGTAAGAAGCTGGCTTTAAGCAGAGAGAGATTTAAATGTAGATTAAACAGGCTCAATCACTCTTTAGAAGTACACAAAATAACTGTGAACAGACCCCAAACAACTTCAGATACCAAGCCTTCCATAAAAGCTTCCAAGCCTCCAGGTACCTGGCCTGAGCTTGCTCATTTTCCAACAGTGATTAAGGGGTTACATGAAGTCTTTAAATTCTGCCACACTCCCATGAATGGGTATTAAATAATATTCCTTTAAGCTACCGGAACTGCTGCATGGGGATTCTGCCTCATCTTTATGGATGCGTTGTCATAATTTCTAGAATTATAGAACTCAACTCATACCTCCATATATCCCAAGGAAACAATATAAGAAGTTTTTCTTCCCTCTCAGCTCAGAGCATATAAAATGATCTCTCACTACTCTGAATTAGAGCAGATGAATTTAAAGACACTTTCTTGAATAAACCTCTGGGTTGGGCTTAGGGGATAAGTTCACTGTTCTGGCAGGCCTCTGTTTCCAAGGAAAACACAAAGGTGAGAATGTTGTGCACCGAGACTGAGATGTTCCACACACCACTGGCTGCCTTACCTCTTGCCCCAAACAGCACAAGGAGAGGGAGACAGTATTGCTCTCAAAAGCTGGTAGTTGGAGGCATCCCCTCCCCTCTATTTCTTCCCCTGCCCATACCCTGTTCCTTGGCCCCCACCCCTTGTAATTCACAAAGCAAGATCCAAACCAGGTTCTAACATAGTCCTGTAAGATGGGAGCAGCAGTCATCTTGGTCACCACTCACCCCATACAAACACACTGTCCAAGATACAGAAACCAAAGTACAGCTCAGGTAAGTAGCACTATGGTCTCACACCAGGCACTGTCAAAGTGCAGGGATTCACACCTCAAATGTTTCAGTCACTATTCAGTAAGTTGAGATTTTTTCCAATTGGACCCTCAGGCTCACATCCCCAAATCCCTAGACAAACCCAGTAAAGACATAGGAACCTGCATCATTATTGTGTCTCCCAATTATTGAGAGCTTACTATCTGCAAGGATAAGTAGCATGCTCAAGGTTCTGTGGACAGCTCAAGATCCCATGCAAAGTCCAAGGTCCCATGGGCAGCTCCAGGTCCCATGTATAGCAGGAGGCAAAAACGGAACTGGAGCCCAGGTCCATCTGACCCCAAGGGCATATATAAAAGCACTGAAGTATGTTGCCTTTCTATAGAAACATTAACCCTTCAGCAGATAGCTGTTGAATGATTGTAGATGAAACTGATCTTGGAGGAGAGAGAGTAGAGCAATCATTTACAAAGAAAAAGGGAACTGATCCATGGGTTGGTCTATCCTAAGGGCTCTGTTCATGCCCCAACTTCCAGAATGGGGAGTCCAGGCACCTCCTGGTGCTTCCCTCCTTCAACCAGGTGTGCGTGTGCACACACATCCACACAAACACACCCCAGAACTCCAAAGAAGGTTTTACAAATTATTTACTTCAACCTTTACTGAGTCTAAAGAATACTAAGGCTTTGGGTATAGTGCCCAGCCTCTAAGGATTTTTAGGGCATCCCTGCAGGGCCAACACTTCAGCTATAGAACCTCTCATTCACATTCTCTTCCCATCTCCAAACATCCCTCTTTCCTTCCAGCTCCTTTTTTTCCTCCACCCTAATACCACTTCCACTTTGTGGGTTGGCAGTCATTCTCTCTTCTACCCAGTTCTGTTCCTAAGGAGAGGGAAACTTCAAATCATGAGGATGAAAAAAGGGATAGAGGCTCTGGGTAGATTATTTTTTATTATTATTATACTTTAAGTTTTAGGGTACATGTGCACAATGTGCAGGTTTGTTACATGTATATACATGTGCCATGTTGGTGTGCTGCACCCAGTAACTCATCATTTAATATTAGGTATATCTCCTAATGCTATCCCTCCCAACTCCCCACACCCTACAACAGGCCCTGGTGTGTGATGTTCCCTTTCCTGTGTCCATGTATTCTCATTGTTCAATTCCCACCTATGAGTGAGAACATGTGGTGTTTGGTTTTTTGTCCTTGTGATAGTTTGCTGAGAATGATGGTTTCCAGTTTCATCCATGTCCCTACAAAGAACATGAACTCATCCTTTTTTATGGCTGCATAGTATTCCATGGTGTATATGTGCCACATTTCCTTAACCCAGTCTATCAGTGTTGGACATATGGGTTGGTTCCAAGTCTTTGCTATTGTGAATAATGCCGCAATAAACATATGTGTGCATGTGTCTTTATAGCAGCATGATTTATAATCCTTTGGGTATATACCCAGTAATGGGATGGCTGGGTCAAATGGTATTTCTAGTTCTAGATCCCTGAGGAATCGCCACAGTGACTTCCACAGTGGTTGAACTAGTTTACAGTCCCAGCAACAGTGTAAAAGTGTTCCTATTTCTCCACATCCTCTCCAGCACCTGTTGTTTCCTGACTTTTTAATGATCACCATTCTAACTGGTGTGAGATGGTATCTCATTGTGGTTTTGATTTGCGTTTCTCTGATGGCCAGTGATAATGAGCATTTTTTCATGTGTTTTTTGGCTGCGTAAATGTCTTCTTTTGAGAAGTGTCTGTTCATATCCTTTGGCCACTTTTTGATGGGTTGTTTTTTTCTTGTAAATTTGTTTGAGTTCATTGTAGATTCTGGATATTAGCCCTTTGTCAGATGAGTAGACTGCAAAAATTTTCTCCCATTCTGTAGGTTGCCCGTTCACTCTGATGGTAGTTTCTTTTGCTGTGCAGAAGCTCTTTAGTTTAATTAGATCCCATCTGTCAATTTTGGCTTTTTTTTTTTTTTTTTTTTGAGACGGAGTCTCACTCTGTCGCCCAGGCTGGACTGCGGACTGCAGTGGCGCAATCTCGGCTCACTGCAAGCTCCGCTTCCCGAGTTCACGCCATTCTCCTGCCTCAGCCTCCCCAGTAGCTGGGACTACAGGCACCTGCCACCGCGCCCGGCTAATTTTTTGTATTTTTAGTAGAGACGGGGTTTCACCTTGTTAGCCAGGATGGTCTCGATCTCCTGACCTCATGATCCACCCGCCTCGGCCTCCCAAAGTGCTGGGATTACAGGCGTGAGCCACCGCGCCCGGCCCAATTTTGGCTTTTGTTGCCATTGCTTTTGGTGTTTTAGACATGAAGTCCTTGCCCATGCCTATGTCCTGAATGGTATTGCCTAGGTTTTCTCCTAGGGTTTTCATGGCTTTAGGTCGAACATGTAAGTCTTTAATCCATCTTGAATTAATTTTTGAAAATGGTGTAAGGAAAGGATCCAGTTTCAGCTTTCTACATATGGCTAGCCAGTTTTCCCAGCACCATTTATTAAATAGGGAATCCTTTCCCCATTGCTTGTTTTTCTCAAGTTTGTCAAAGATCAGATAGTTGCAAATATGAGGCATTATTTCTGAGGGCTCTGTTCTGTTCCATTGGTCTATATCTCTGTTTTGGTACCAGTACCATGTTATTTTGGTTGCTGTAGCCTTGTAGTATAGTTTGAAGTATAGTTTGAAGTGATGCCTCCAGCTTTGTTATTTTGGCTTAAGATTGACTTGGCAATGCAGGCTCTTTTTTGGTTCCATATGAACTTTAAAGTAGTTTTTTCCAATTCTGTGAAGAAAGTCATTGGTAGCTTGATGGGGATGGCATTGAATCTATAAATTACTTTGGGCAGTATGGCCATTTTCACGATATTGATTCTTCCTACCCATGAGCATGGAATGTTCTTCCATTTGTTTGTATCCTCTTTTATTTCCTTAAGCAGTGGTTTGTAGTTCCCTTGAAGAGGTCCTTCACATCCCTTGTAAGTTGGATTCCTAGGTATTTTATTCTCTTTGAAGCAATTGTGAATGGGAGTTCACTCATGATTTGGCTCTCTGATTGTCTGTTATTGGTGTATAAGAATGCTTGTGATTTTTGTACATTGATTTTGTATCCTGAGACTTTGCTGAAGTTGCTTATCAGCTTAAGGAAATTTTGGGCTGAGACAATGGGGTTTTCTAGATATACAATCATGTCATCTGCAAACAGGGACAATTTGACTTCCTCTTTTCCTAATTGAATGCCCTTTATTTCCTTCTCCTGCCTAATTGCCCTGGCCAGAACTTCCAAAACTAGGTTGAATAGGAGTGGTAAGAGAGGGCATCCCTGTCTTGTGCCAGTTTTCAAAGGGAATGCTTCCAGTTTTTGCCCATTCAGTATGATATCGGCTGTGGGTTTGTCATAGATACTTCTTATTATTTTGAGATATGTCCCATCAATACCTAATTTATTGAGAGTTTTTAGCATGAAGGGTTGTTGAATTTTGTCAAAGACCTTTTCTGCATCTATTGAGATAATCATGTGGTTTTTGTCTTTGGTTCTGTTTATACGCTGGGTTACATTTATTGATTTGTGTATGTTGAACCAGCCTTGCATCCCAGGGATGAAGCCCACTTGATCATGGTGGATAAGCTTTTTGATGTGCTGCTGGATTCAGTTTGCCAGTGTTTTATTGAGGATTTTTGCATCAATGTTCATCAAGGATATTGGTCTAAAATTCTCTTTTTTGGTTGTGTCTCTGCCAGGCTTTGGTATCAGGATGATGCTGGCCTCATAAAATGAGTTAGGGTGGATTCCCTCTTTTTCTGTTGATTGGAATAGTTTCAGAAGGAATGGTACCAGCTCCTCCTTGTATCTCTGGTAGAACTCGGCTGTGAGTCCATCTGGTCCTGGGCTTTTTTTGGTTGGTAAGCTATTAATTCTTGCCTCAATTTCAGAGCCTGTTATTGGTCTCTTCAGAGATTCAATTTCTTCCTGGTTTAGTCTTGGGAGGGTGTATGTGTCGAGGAATTTATCCATTTCCTCTAGATATTCTAGTTTATTTTCGTAGAGGTGTTTATAGTATTCTCTGATGGTAGTTTGTATTTCTGTGGGATCGTTGGTGATATTCCCTTTGTCGTTTTTTATTGCGTCTATTTGTTTCTTCTCTCTTTTCTTCTTTATTAGTCTTGCTGGCAGTCTATCAATTTTGTTGATCTTTTCAAAAAAACCAGCTCCTGGATTCATTGATTTTTTGAAGGTTTTTTTGTGTCTCTATTTCCTTCAGTTCTGCTCTGATCTTAGTTATTTCTTGCCTTCTGCTAGCTTTTGAATGTGTTCGCTCTTGCTTCTCTAGTTCTTTTAATTGTGATGTTAGGGTGTCAATTTTAGATCTTTCCTGCTTTCTCTTGTGGGCATTTAGTGCTATAAATTTCCCTCTACACACTGCTTTGAATGTGTCCCAGAGATTCTGGTATGTTGTGTCTTTGTTCTTGATGGTTTCAAAGAACATCTTTATTTCTGCCTTCATTTCGTTATGTACCCGGTAGTCATTCAGGAGCAGGTTGTTCAGTTTCCATGTAGTTGAGCGGTTTTGAGTGAGTTTCTTAATCCTGAGATCTAGTTTGATTGCACTGTGGTCTGAGAGACAGTTTGTTATAATTTCTGTTCTTTTACATTTGCTGAGGAGTGCTTTACTTCCAACTATGTGGTCAATTTTGGAATAGGTGTGGTGCTGAAAAGAATGTGTATTCTGTTGCTTTGGGGTGGAGAGTTCTGTAGACGTCTATTAGGTCCAATTGGTGCAGAGCTGAGTTCAATTCCTGGATATCCTTGTTAACTTTCTGTCTCATCGATCTGTCTAATGTTGACAGTGGGGTGTTGAAGTCTCCCATTATTATTGTGTGGGAGTCTAAGTCTCTTTCTAGGTCTCTAAGGACTTGCTTTATGAATCTGGGTGCTCCTGTATTGGGTGCATATATATTTAGGATAGTTAGCTCTTCTTGTTGAATTGATCCCTTTACCATTATGTAATGGCCTTCTTTGTCTCTTTTGATCTTTGTTGGTTTAAAGTCTGTTTTATCCGAGACTAGGATTGCAACCCCTGCCTTTTTTTGTTTTCCATTTGCTTGGTAGATCTTCCTCCATCCCTTTATTTTGAGCCTATGTGTGTCTCTGCATGTGAGATGGGTTTCCTGAATACAGCACACTGATGGGTCTTGACTCTTTATCCAATTTGCCAGTCTCTGTCTTTTAATTGGAGCATTGAGCCCATTTACATTTAAGGTTAATATTGTTATGTGTGAATTTGATCCTGTTATTATGACGTTAGCTGGTTATTTTGCTCATTAGTTTATGCAGTTTCTTCCTAGCCCTGATGGTCTTTACAATTTGGCATGTTTCTGCAGTGGCTGGTACTGGTTGTTCCTTTCCATGTTTAGTGCTTCCTTCAGGAGCTCTTTTAGGGCAGGCCTGGTGATGACAAAAATCTCTCAGCATTTGCTTGTCTGTAAAGGATTTTATTTCTCCTTCACTTATGAAGCTTAGTTTGGCTGGATATGAAATTCTGGGTTGAAAATTGTTTTCTGTAAGAATGTTGAATATTGGCCCCCACTCTCTTCTGGCTTGTAGAGTTTCTGCTGAGAGATCCGCTGTTAGTCTGATGGGCTTCCCTTTGTGGGTAACCCGACCTTTCTCTCTGGCTGCTCTTAACATTTTTTCCTTCATTTCAACTTTGGTGAATCTGACAATGATGTGTCTTGGAGTTGCTCTTCTCGAGGAGTATCTTTGTGGCATTCTCTGTATTTCCTGAATTTGAATGTTGGCCTGCCTTGCTCGATTGGGGAAGTTCTCCTGGATAATATCCTGCAGAGTGCTTTCCAACTTGGTTCCATTCTCCCTGTCACTTTCAGGTACACCAGTCAGACATAGATTTGGTCTTTTCACATAGTCCCATATTTCTTGGAGGCTTTGTTTGTTTCTTTTTATTCTTTTTTCTCTAAACTTCTCTTCTCTCCTCATTTCATTCATTTCATCTTCCATCGCTGATTCCCTTTCTTCCAGTTGATCGCATCAGCTACTGAGGCTTGTGCATTCATCACGTAGTTCTCGTGCCATGGTTTTCAGCTCCATCAGGTCCTTTAAGGACTTCTCTGCTTTGGTTATTCTAGTTAGCCATTCGTCTAATTTTTTTTCAAGGTTTTTAACTTCTTTGCCATTGGTTTGAACTTCCTCCTCTAGCTCAGAGTAGTTTGATCTTCTGAAGCCTTCTTCTCTCAATTCGTCAAAGTCATTCTCCGTCCAGCTTTGTTCCATTGCTGGTGAGGAGCTGCGTTCCTTTGGAGGAGGAGAGGCACTCTGATTTTTAGAGTTTCCAGCTTTTCTGCTCTGTTTATTCCCCATCTTTGTGGTTTTATCTACCTTTGGTCTTTGATGATCGTGATGTACAGATGGGTTTTTGGTGTGGATGTCCTTTCTGTTTGTTAGTTTTCCTTGTAACAGTCAGGACCCTCAGCTGCAGTTCTGTTGGAGTTTGCTGGAGGTCCACTCCAGACCCTGTTTGCCTGGGTACCAGCAGCGGTGGCTGCAGAACAGCAGATATTGGTGAACTGCAAATGCTGCTGCCTGATCGTTCCTCTGGAAGTTTTGTCTCAGAGGAGTACCCGGCCGTGTGAGGTGTCAGTCCGCCCCTACTGGGGGATGCCTCCCAGTTAGGCTACTCAGGGGTCAGGGACCCACTTGAGGAGGCAGTCTGCCCGTTCTCAGATCTCCAGCTGCGTGCTGGGAGAACCACTACTCTCTTCAAAGCTGTCAGACAGGGACATTTAAGTCTGCAGAGGTTACTGCTGCCTTTTGTTTGTCTGTGCCCTGCCCCCAGAGATGGAGCCTACAGAGGCAGGCAGGCCTCCTTGAGTTGTGGTGGGCTCCACTCATGAGCTTCCCGGCTGCTGTTTTCCTACTCAAGCCTTGGCAATGGCGGGCGCCCCTCCCCCAGCCTCACTGCCGCCTTGCAGTTTGATCTCAGACTGCTGTGCTAGCAATGAGTGAGGCTTCGTGGGCGTAGGACCCTCCGATCAAGGGGCGGGATATAATCTCCTGGTGTGCCATTTGTTAAGCCCGTTCGAAAAGTGCAGTATTAGGGTGGGAGTGACCCAATTTTCCAGGTGCCATCTGTCACCCATTTCTTTGACTATGAAAGGGAATTCCCTGACCCCTTGTGCTTCCCGGGTGAGGCAATGCCTCACCCTGCTTCAGCTCACGCACGGTGCACTGCACCCACTGTCCTGCACCCACTGTCTGGCACTCCCCAATGTGATGAACCTGGTACCTCAGTTGGAAATGCAGAAATCACCCGTCTTCTGCGTTGTTCATGCTGGGAGCTGTAGACTGGAGCTGTTCCTATTCAGCCATCTTGGCTCCACCCCTGAGTAGATTGTTTTAAAGAACCAGTTTGACATCTTGCCCTGTAAAGGTTAACTTTCTGTTATCCTCTCTCATGTATCACATTATCTCCATCATTTTTTGGAGTTGCTTTGCAAACATTCCTTTCCATTACTTTATCCATGAGAAGTACCAGGATCCAACAAGAAGAAAAAGAGAGAAGAAAAAATAATTCTACCCAGATATACTATGTATATCTGAAACAGACTTTTATCCATCTCTTTCTTCTTTTGGTAACAGTACCCCAATCTTCTTTTGTAGCTTTGGAAAGACATCAAGGGCTCCTGACATCACTTGAATCATGTTCTGCCAGAAGGCTTGTCTGCCTAGGTATTATTCAGTTGTAAGAGCAACAAAATCCTCTTTGGCTTTACCTGGTTTGAGTTTAGAAAAAGAGCCACCAGTGAAATTTATTTTTCCTTGAAATTGTAACACTAGCCAGATCTTTCTGGTTATGATTCATTGGATGTTTGGAGGTCCAAGGCCAGCACATGAGAGCAAACCAGTGTTGGCTTTCTGGTGGTTGTTAAAGTGTGATAAATGGGCCTGATCAGGGGATGGGGGATCCTTGAGCCAGAGGGAGGGCTCTGCTCCGGTAGCTTTAAGCTCTCCTGCAGTAGAGCATCCACAGAATGGCTTCTTGCCATTCTCAGACTAAGCCTCTCAGATTAAGGGTGAATTCTCACTGGGCCCCAAGGTGGGACTGGACCCCCTGCACCTGCATGCAGCTGCAAATGATGAACCTGGGAAAGAAGGAACAAAATAGAAAGACTGCAGTGCTGTCAATCTTATTCCTCGTTGTTGTAGGCAACAGAGGAATGCCTAGGACCACATGTCTGGGATGTCTTCAGTGGCTTGGACACTTTCTAATTTAAAGGTAGAAGGCCACTGTGGTCATTACTCATTTTATCTCTGTCTCTTTCTGTCTGTCTCTGTCAAGCCTCTCTCCTCTCTGAAAAGGCCAGGTCCAGCTCTAAGGGGATGGTCCCCAGGGTAAACAACCAGTTTCTTTAGCCACCATCCAGGCTTTCTACTCCTTTTCCTCAAGGCCTGGCTACCGGGAGTAACCAGTGCAAATGCAAACAAACTAAGAAAGTCCAAGGGGCCTAAGGCTTAGTAGGCTGAGCTAGAATCAAAATTGATCTTGGAGGCATGTTTCAACTTGTTTTACAGATAATTAAGTGCTCGTAGACTCTTCTCCAAGGAAACCCAGCAGTGCCCCAAAGAAAAATCAGGGGAAGGTGTAGGGAATCTTTATAAGACCACCCTATGGATGGGGTTTTAATGGGGGTGGGGTGCAGTTAATGTAGAATCTGTGTTTGTTTACTTTTGCAAACAGCCTGTTTTGCTTACTTGATCTAATGACTGAAGAGATTAGTGCCATTTGTTGGGGAAGGAAAATGAAAAAGGGAGAGAAGAAAAATGTTAAATAATAATAGAAGTCTTCAAAATAATTTTTTTCCATCTAGACCCAGGAGGATTGCGGCTGGTCTGGGGTCAGATCATTAAATATAAACAGGGATAGCACGGGGAGAGGATAATATAAAAATATTCCAGATTCCATTTACCCATTCATGCACCCACATCTCTCCTCCCACTTTTGCCTGGTCAGCCTCTTTACTTCCTGTAGATCTTAGATAAATTACCTTCTTTAAGAGAGGCCTTCCCTGGCCTTCCAGAAGAGATCAACTCTTCTGATCACTCCCATAACTTCTCCTCAAAGTTTTTCCTTTTTTTAGTTCCTGACACATTACAATTTTACACTATTTCTCCGATTATTTAAGTAGTCTTTCTCTCCATGATTTTAATATGATCTCCAAGAGGACAGGGAATCTATATCTATTTCTACTTACTATTGAAATCCCTGTACCTAGTACAGTGCCTGGCACACAGTGGTGTTCATAAGCATCTCTAGGTTCAATGGATAGATGTCATTCTACTTAGTTCCCGAGCACTTGCTGGCCGATAATGGCAATACACTCTTAAGGAAAAGAGTGATCTGGGTAAGTGACTTGGCCTAAGTCATGGTTTATCCTAGGTGGATGATAATAAAAAGTTACATACTCAGTTTGAGCATCAATAAGGTTAATAACTGCAATGATCTAAACAGATCAAATATGTTTAAATCCATAAGCTAATAATGATTCCCTTTTTTAAAAAAGACTAATTGGACATTATTTGATGATGTTCATGAACAATTCATTACTGATAACTAAAAAATAAAGGGAAAGATTCAAATGCTAATCTTGCTTTTTCCACATATCGGTACCACTGATTAACCACAGGTGGGAGGAGGTTTTACTTTATAGAAATATTCCAGCAAATACATATTATAAAGTAACATTTAAATATAATGATTTTGAAATCCTTGATCAATTAATTGGTCATGGCAGATTATTTTGTCCAAAAAGGACACAACAATATTTAGGTCCCAGGGCCATGACATCAGACAAAGCCTATTTCTCCTCTCCTTGAAATTGGAGGACCTTTTCAGCTGCCTCAGAGAGTGGAAATGAGTTTACCATTTTTTTCTCCAATGTCCCCTGCCCAAACTCAAGGAAGCCTAAAATTTAGAAATGGGTACAGGATACTGAGAGAGCTCTAGCAGGAGCTCTTTTGTTCTATCAAGAGAATTCCCAAGGGTTGGAGGGAGTGGGGAAAATTCCTAGTCTTTTTTCTTTCTTCCCCCTCTCTCTTTTTTATATTCTCTTCTACACCGGCTGTGGTGATCCACAGGCACCTAAAACTTTGAGGAAGCAGAAGTTTCTTCCTGGATCAAAGGAGCTGTTGTCTCCAAGAGTGTGTGGGGAAAACCCTAGTTTCTGTTTGTTTGTTGCTGTTGTTCTGTCTTTCTGCTGCCTGGCCTTGGTCAAGGGTGCAGTCACAGGAAATGTGCAGCAGAGTAGGATAAGTAAAGCTCCAGTTTTCTGAATGGAAGATGGAAAAGAAAAGCCATAGGAGCTGGAAAGTACAGGGGAGATCATGGAGAAGAAGGAGCTTGGGGAAATGAACCCATAAAATGACTTATGGATTCCTGGACTTACCCCAAGTAGCTCATGCATAGATCTGACCCTAAACAATGCACCAGAATCAACCACCCAGTCCCAGACTGGATGCTGAATAGCACTGAATAACACTATAGAGTCATTCAAAATGAACTGGACATTAAAACTACAATTCCCAGAAGGCTGATCAGAACTTGTGACCTGAACTAACCAGTTTAAATGCCTGCTGAAACAAAACTACCAACATTCTTCATAGGATTTAAATAAGAAGCAGAGTCTCATCACACAATATTCAAAATGTCCAGGATCTAATACAATTTTACTCAGCTTATAAAGAACCAGAAAAATCTCGACTCTGCAGAATGGAGCCCCAAAATAGGCAAAACACAAATACAACCAGTTGATTTTTGACAAAGTTTTACAGGCAATTTAATGAATGGGGTAGTTTAAAAAAAATAGTGTTGGAACAATTGGACAGCATATGCTAAATAAGGAAATAAATTCCAATCTAAACCTACATATTATGCAAAATTTAACTAAAATGGATCACATGTATGGACAAAGAAAATGTAGTACTTATACAAAATGGTGCTCATACATAATTTGGCCATAAGAACAGAATGAGATCCAGTCATTTGCAACAACATAGATGGAACTGGAGATCATTATGGTTTTGTTTTGTTTTGTTTGTTGGGTTTTTTATTTGTTTGTTTTGACACAGCCTCTTGCTCTGTCACCCAGGCTGGAGTGCAGTGACACGGTCTCAGCTCACTGCAACTTCCGCCTCTTGAGGCTCAAGTGATTCCCCACCTCAGCCTTCCGAGTCGCTGGGACGACAGGTATGTGCCACCATGCCTGGCTAATTGTTTTGTTTTTTTTTTAATTTTTAGTAGACACGAGGTCTCACTATGTTGCCCAGACTGGTCTCAAAATACTGGCCACAAGCCATCTACCCACCTCAGCCTCCCAAAGTGTGGAGATTACAAGCATGAGCCACCACGCCTGGCCTGGAGAGCATTACGTTAAGTGAAATAACCCAGACACAGAAAGACAAACATCACATTTTCTCACTTACCTGTGGGATCTGAAAATCAAAACAATTGAATTCATGGACATAGAGAGTAGAAGGATGGTTACCAGAGGCTGGGAAGGGTAGTGGGAGGCTGAGAGGGAGGTGGAGATGGTTAATAGGTACAAAAAATAATTAGAAAGAATGAATAAGACCTACTATTTGATAGCAAAATAGGGTGACTATAGTCAATAATAACTTAATTGTACATTTTAAAATAACTTAAAGAGTGTCATTGGATTGGTTTGTAACTCTAAGAATAAATGCTTGAGGGGACACCCCATTTTCTATGATGTGCTTATTTCACATTGCATGCCTGTATCAAAACATCTCAGGTACCCCACAAACATATACACCTACTATGTACCCACAAAAATTTAAACAAATAGAAATAAATAAAATGGATTATAGACCTAAATGTAAAGTCTAAAATTATAAAATGTTTAGAATAAAGCACAGAAGAAAATATTCATGACCTAGGTTTAGGCTGTTACTAGACATGACAATAAAAGCACGATATATAAAGAACTCACGAAACTCAACTGTAAGAAAACAACCCATTTAAAAATAAACAAAAGATTTCAACAGACACTTAATTAAAGAGGGTATATGGAAGACAAATAAATACATGAATATGTGTTTAAAATCATTAGCCATTAGGAAAATGCAGATTGAAATGACAATGAGATATCACTACATATCTAATAGAGTGACTAAAATAAACATTCTGAGAACTCCAGGTGCTGATAATCACATGAAGCCACTGGAACTCTTCTTTGTTGCTAGTGGGATGCAAAATGGTACAGGCACCCTAGAAAATAGTTTGACGATTTCTTCTAAAGTCTACATTAATTACCGTATGACATAAAAATCTCTCTACTGTGTATTTATCCTAGAGAAATGAAAATTGATGTTCATTCAAACACTTATACATGAATGTATATAGTGGTTCTGTTCATAATTGCCAAAAACTGGAAACAACTCAACTGTCCTCAGCAGGTGAATGTAAGAACAAGCTGTGGTACAACCATACCACAAAATGCTACTTAGCAATAAAAAGGAATGCATTATTGATACTCACAGCACCTTGGATGAATCTCAAAAGCATTTTGCTGAATGAAAGAAGCTAATCTCAAAAGATTACCTACTGTGTAAACCCATTTATGTGACACTCTCAAAAAGACAAAACTATGGTGATAGAGAGACAATCAGAGGCTGAAATGAGGTAGCGGTGGGGGAAAGTGTGACTAGGATGGGATAGCAAGAGGGAGCCATTTGGAGGAATGGAACTGTTCAGTACCTTGATCATTGGTGCTGGTTAGAAGGAGCTATACATGTGTTATCATAGATCTGTGTACCAACTATGCTCAATTTTACTGTATGTTAATCTAAAATAATTTTTAAACAAAACCTTTCTCACTAGCAGTCCCTTAATATCTTAGAAATGCTTAGAGTTTCTTGGCCAGGTGCGGTGGCTCATGCCTGTAATCTCAGCACTTTGGGAGGCTGAGGTAGGAGGATCATGAGGTCAAGAGATTGAGACCATCCTGGCCAACATGGTGAAACCCTGTTTCTACTAAGCATACAAAAAATTAGCTGGGTGTGGTGGCCTGTGCCTGAAGTCCCAGCTACTCAGGAGGCTGAGGCAGGAGAATCACCTGAACTTGGGAGGTGGAGGTTGCAGTGAGCCAAGATCACGCCACTGCACTGCAGCCTGGCGACAGAGCGAGACTCTGTCAAAAAGAAGAAAAAAAAAAAGAAATGCTTAGAGTTTCTCAGGAGATAAATATAAACAGCCTTATTATTATCCCAATTTCCAGTATATTCTGACTTTCTTTTCTAAACTTTATGAATATATGATTTGTTTACATTTGTCTTACCAAGGAGAACCACACATTTAGAGAGAAGCAGCCCTCTCTCTCCCACGCTCACAAGATAAATGTCAGTCCACTTACACTTGCTCATCAGTGATACCATCCTCATGACATGAAAACATGATGATGAGAAGTCTTCAAACCACAGAGAAGTGCTCTGAGTACAGCAAAATGTCCCAGTACATTATCATTTCTCTACTGGCTAAGACAAATTCTGCTCCAGATGCAATAGGATAGCAGTTGGAGCCGAGACTTGTGCAAAAGGCTGATCATATACAATAATTCTTCTAGAGTAAGAGATGCTTGTACCAGAATCAGGCAAGATAAAGGTGTTTAGGACTCTTTTGAAGAAACCATGTTTGAAAACTTTAAATGACATGTGCAGCTGCGGTGGTTTCAATATGTGCTCTCAGTTAGTTGATACTCCTTCTTTCAAGAGGTGGAATCTAATTCTCCTTCCCTTGAATGTGGGCTGGACTTAGTGACTCACTTCTGACAAACAGAATAAAGAGGAAGTGACAGGTATGTGCCTTTGGAGGCTAATTTATAAAAATCACTGTTGTTTTCTGTCTGATCTCTCTCTCTCTGTTTCATCACTCACTCCAGGGAAAGCCAAATGTCATATCCTGAGGACACTGAGGCAGCCATATGGTGAGGCTCATGTAGAGAGAAACTGAGGCCTTCCACCAGACTGCCAGAGAGTGAGACTTTAGATCACCGCAGCCCTGCTGACCTCCTAACCACCACCTCCTAAGCCAGAACCTCCTGAGAAATCCTGAGCCAGAACCACTTAGCTACTAAGCCTCTCTTGAATTCTTGACTCCCAGAAACTATGTGATAATAGATGTTAGTTGTTTTAAGCTGCTAAGGTTGGGTCAACTTGTTACGCAGCAATAGATAAATAATACAACAACCATATTAGTGTCAAACTGTTCTTTGATTTAGAAAGAAGAGAAAAGGAAGGGGAGGCAAGAAATGAGATCAGGATTCAGTTCAACATTTTTACCAAGGCAAGTAATTCAAGTTATCTTAACTTCTTTCCCTGGAGGCCAGGGAATTATATAAAGATCCAGAGAATTTCCTAGAAATGATTTTTGAAATTAATCATCTTCCTGCATAGACATTCTCAGACTCATGTTCCAGGTGGCAGCTGGGGAAGCTACACTGAATATCGCCACCTACCTCCCACCAGGGATTTCCAAACTGCTTATTTATCAAGCAGCCTTTTAAATAGGATATGTTATATAAACAGAGCCTAGCAAAGGACTGTGCACAAGATAGGCACTCGATAAACGTATTTTGGCGGAGCAATGGCTGCTGTGTTTATTCTTTTAATTAGCAAACACTTGAGTTCATATTCAAGTCAAAAAGACTAAATAACAAAACCTGAAACCAAGGTTAAAATCATGCTCCGTTTCTCTGTACTCATACGTAAGGAACTTTCTTTTCTTTTAGCATATGCCATGAGACAGTTGCATGAGAAGTTACTCTAAGAGAAAAGTATTTGATGTTCGTGTCTTCTAACACTGAGAATGGAAAATCTACCCAGCAACTCACGAATCAAAGAACACTTAATAGAAAAATAGGCTTGAGCAGCACTGTTTGTTGCGTTCTTTTATAGGAAAATTGAAAACATAGGATCACAAGGGTCAGATGGTTACTATTGGAATCTGGCTCCTATGAAACATAATATGTACCATTTCCCCCACCAAAATTGTGTTACTTTGTCCAAGTCACCCAATGGGGCACAGGATAAGGTGTTTTTCTGATGCACATAACCACCTAGGTTTCAAAAGGACATCTATTTAAAAGTGAGGTCCTGAAGAACACCAACAGTGACAGAAAAATGATATTTTTCTGTAACCTCAGCATCACAGAGAATAGTTCCATAAGAAATAGTTGACAAAAACAGAAAACTTTATTATTGAACATATATAGCACTATTCGGCAAAAATCCAATGCTGATGGCAACTTCCAAAACTAGGCCTTCTACCTTCTAGAGACTCTCATTCTGTACTAGAGTTTTAAGAAACTCAGAACACTTTACAGATCAAGGTGCCTTTATGACTTTGTTTTGTGGATGGATCTGTGTGTCAATAAGAAATTTTTAAAAATATCAAACAAATAGCAACTATCAAGGAAGTAGGAGAGAAGAGGGGTACAACAAAGAAAAATCAAACTTGAGGTACAATTTCACATGATCTTGCACATGGGGTTTAATAAGGTTTCAAAGTCAGCTAATTATAAAACTCTATAGATTAAATAATTGGCCCATGAAAGCTTTTATTAAAATGTCACCTGGATATCCCACTCCAAAAACATCCAATGCCATCTTGGTGTGAGTAGCCAGCTGCTGGCTTCTGAACAAAGGCTTTGAGTTTAGACTCAATATGGTGCTGTTGCTTTGAAATCTTGGAAGGAAGGAAACTACTCAGTGTCTCTTGCTTGATCCAAAGCATCCCTCATAAAAGTCTGCAGTGTCTCAACTGAAAATCAAAATGAGAACATCCTATATACATTAATGGTGGCCACAAATTTCAAAGAAGAAGGAGAAATGTATATAGAGCTGAGAAAAATAAGTGTGTAGCAACCCATTTTATTTCTAAGAGACGTCTAGAATTTCACAGCTCTGAAGAGAAAGGCAGAAAAACAAATAATTATTTGAAACAAAACGAAAACTTTGCTTAATCAATCTGTTAAAAGCTGTTGTGAAAGCATTTTTCTTCTCAAAGCGGAACTAGCTTACTCATTACCTCTTTCTTCCAATGAGTAATCCCTCCCTCTCTTCTCATTACCAGAAATACCTACTACCTCTTTCCATATGGAAAGTGAAACCCGACATTTTCTTTTCTAATAACAGCATCTGCGAAAATCACACTCTGTCCTGGATTTGCAGAGCACTTTCCTGCTTCATCCTCATAGAATCAGGCACTGAGTAAATGGGTAACAAATATCTGTGAGAGTGAACACACTGGACCTAAAGGTATAAGCAATGGCAATAAGAGTAATTCGGGTGCCATTGGGGGCTAAGAGCATGCGATAATCTCCTCTCTATAAAATTCCCAGAGGTCACTCAGACAGACAAATTTAAATTTCTCCTGAGTTGGAAGGTTCATTTCCCCTGGAGCTACATAGGCCACACTTGGACACCTTTAATTCTTAGAAAAGCACTCATCTATATTAAATGGAAATTTGCTCCCTGGAATTTCTACCCATCAGGCTCTGTTTTGACCCCTGGGGCTCCAGGACAAATCCCATGCTTGTCCATATCGCAGCTCTCTGGTGACTGGATATCACAGCTCTCTGGTGACTGGATGGCTGCTGTCTCATCTCCCATGAGTGGCATTTTCCCAGTGGTCAATCCTAGTGAAACAGGAAAAGTTCCCTTGTCCCCCTTGCAGGGCGTGCGATGGGGGTGTGGCTCGCTTCTTCAGTGCCCTGCCACTCAAACCTCTAGGGAAGCACACAGACGGGCAGGCTGTGGGGCCCCAACCTAACGGCAGTGTCCAGCGGTGAATGTTTACAGCTGAAGCCCCAGTGGGTGTGTATTACAGGGTGCTGTTTTAGTTTAGCCATCCATAGGTGGCTTGTGTTAGTCAGCTCAATTAGACCCCTGTCTTATCACAAGGACAGAGGGCTTTCTGTATCCTGGGATTCTTGCCTTGGTGTACCAGAAGAATCGGATCATACATGGGCTTGGAGAATGAATGCAAGGTTTTATTGCATGGAAGTAGCTCTCAGCAGATGGAGGAGCCAGAAGGGAGATGGTTTTCCCGTGGAGTACGGCCGCTTGGCCGCCCGACTCTTTTCCAACCACCTCAGCCACACTCCGCATTGTTCTGCCAGTCGATGGCCTGCCAGTGTGCTGGTGTTGTGCTACACTGGTGCATTCCTCTCGACATCCAGCCACCCATGTGTTCCTCTGCTGATGTGCTCCTCTTGACGTCCAGCCACCTTTGTGTCTGCCTGCTAGGGTTTCTAGGTTTTTATAGGCACAGGATGACAGTGTGGCAGGCCAGGGTGGTCCTGGGAAATGCAATATTTGGCCACAAATGCAGGAGTCCCTCTTCTCACCTAGGTCCGTGGGCACCGGCCGGGGGTGGAACCCTCACCAGGGACCATGTCCTTTTCTTCCCAGCACCTCTCTGCCCCCCTTCCATATCACTAAGTCGTTAGCGGTTCTTCTGTGGGCATGTTTCTGGCAGTGTGTTTTGAAGTCTAGTGCGAAAGGCCTCTACATTGTAAGTACCTGAGGAGAACCTTCATTGTGCAAATTTCAGAGTCCCCTCTTCAAACGCTGTATCAGATTCTCTGGGGTTGAGTCCTAGAATCTGACTAGATTTAGCAAATGCCCAGAAGACTCTTAAGCACACCACAGAATTCTCACCAGCCTCATCACTCACCTCTCAATGGGCCCCTTTGAACAATCACCTAGGACGTCTTCCAGTAGCCAGGTGTAACCTACAAGAAACGCGCTGTAGATAGTTCAAATGACTGCATGAAAGAAATACAATTAAACTTTGGAAATGGTCTGTGAAATCAGAGCTGTAATTAACTCAAAATGGTATTCACCCAGTGTTGAGGGCAATGTGCCACCGGATGCCTCTATGCGTGGCATGAGCTAGGTGGCTTTACGGGTGATGCCTGTTTAATCTTCCTGACCAGCAAGATCAGTATTTTGCCCATGTTCTATAGATGAGAAGACTGAGACTCCTTAGGGATGAGTGATTGATTTGTTTAATATCACAGAGCTGGGAAATCGAACCCAGATCCCTCTCAACCCAAAGCCTATATTTTCTCTCCTACTGACCCTCCACTCCCCACCTAGAGGTACTGAAAGAAACATACTTGATTTCTGCAATTCTATTTTTCGATATGGTCCCTAACAGACTCCTGCTGCAATGTATGGAAGGAGGACCTGCAAGAATGATGATCTTATTTTAAACTTTTGTCTCTGACTCATTCACTGGATTCCTGAGTGACGTGTTTAATATGCAGATAACACTTTCATGGTGGGATTGGCAATTATCTGCCATTCCCTAGCTCAGGACTCTGGACTCAAGTGAATGGGATGTGATAAAATGACACTTAAAATGGAGCTTGAGGAGTTCAGTGTGAGCTTCAAAGACATAATCCACAATGGTGCACAGGACCGAAAAATTTCCCCCTAAATTCAGTCTGTCTACAATACTATTTTTAATCTTTTTACATGGCAGCAGGAAAGAAACACCTAATGGAAATAACTTTGGGTAGCAGTAGGTAAGAGAGAAAACCACTGTGTTAAAGGAAAGAGCACCAGCACAGGAAACAAGATTTTTTAATTGGTTCAGTTCTTGATACCCCAGGCCGATATTTTGAGCAAGTAGGGACAGCAAAAGCACTACCTACGAAAGCTATTCCATCCAACCTCCCACCCCAAGATGGAAAATGCCAAATAAGCAAAGACACCTACACAAAAAGTTCATGTCTTTATTTAGAAACTCTCATTCTGCTGTTAGGAGAAAGTTCCTAGTAAAGACAGCCAGTGGCTCAGTAGAGATGAAACTGTCAAGCAGAAAGAGAAATCACACAATTAAGAAAGACTCAGAATTCAATTCCTCAGGCTCTCATTCCCATAGTGGGCATGAAGCCCCTTTCTGACCCAATATAGCTTCCCCCTCAAATCTAAAAAGCAGAGCATTCTCAGTTCAGCCTGGGAGCCATGAATGCTGCATAAAGATGATGGCGGACTCAAGAACCTCCAGCATTTCCTGACAATGTTTATAAGGTGAACTTTGTTCCATCCACAATTACTTGTTCCCTTCTCCTGGGTTCAGCAAGGTAACCAGAATAATGTCAGGAGGTGTGACTGCCTCAAAGAAAGCAGAAGAGGAATAATGCCTGGTGTTCCATTTATTTGAAGTCACAGCCATATTACATTATCATGGATGGACCTTGCTAGGTCTCCATTCTGGCAGCACCAAATTGGAACTAAGAAGGTGTTTCAGTGAAGAATCTGTGCAGCTATTTCTGGGAACAAAAGCAGGCCAACTGCAGCAGGGGCCGTGTTAAGACAAATGGCCCACTCTTGAGTGGCGTACCATAATGTCTCTACGATTAGATGGATGAGAGGTTATAGTATGCCATAGATAGCCACAGGACATCCACTGATAATCACACATTTTGTTCTACTGACAGATAACAGCAGCCCACAAATGAGATGAGCCTCCTCTGTATACACACATCACATGAAATCAATACTTAATTACAGCAGGGCCTGCATGTGTTGTCAGTAGGTTCTGGTTAGAAGGCTACACAAAACTTCTTCTCTAGAGCAGTGAGTTAAGATGTAAAGAGGGTTGGAGCATGATGGCAACTGACCACTCCTGAGTTTTAGATTCAGTGAATTGCCATTTGGACACTAGGCTTTGGTTGCAGAGCAGCACTTAGATACAAATAATTATGCCATTAAGGGGAAGAGCAGGCACCACCTGGGATGGCAGTTGTTGCTAGAATTCTACTTCAGGTCACATTCGTTTGTGGATATTCCAAGCCCCGTAATACAGACCTGGGGAGAAGTGGGCAGCATCCAAGGAGTGTCCCTGGGGAAAAGCAGTGTGGCAAAAGGAAAAGAACAGAGGGCATCGAATCAAGTGACATGGGCATGGATATCAGCTCTCTTGCCCCTGGCAAGCCTCAAAATATCTTGCAATTCAAGCTTCTAATCCATAAGAAAGGGGTGATATTCACTCTATCTCTAAGCCAAAGGGCACTGAGATGCCACAATGAGATCAGATAGGCAGAAAGTGCTTTGTAGACAATAAACCTCCAGACCACTGTAAGAGACTATTTTTATTTCAGGAAGTGATAGAACCTGGGTGGACAATATCATGAATAACAGAAGAATAGCTTCATTTATTAAGTTCCCAGTGCAACGTTAGGCAAGGTCATACTGATACACACGCAAAAAAAGAAGAGAGATGAACGAAGTTGGAGGAAAGATTCCAGTTAGAGCCAAGGATATAGGCAGGGGAATCTAGAAAATTATTTCATAATTCATCTATGCCATGCTCACATAACTACACAAAACAGCATTTCACTTGAAAGATGTATATTCATCCAAGAATTATCCTATTGTCCTATTAAACATTTTTCAGGTAATTTGTATAGCCACCTCTTTTTGGAATGTAATGCTTTTCCTTTACCTCATACAGAGTCCTAGGGGTTTGTTTATTTGACAAAACACCTAATCATTCCTTGAAAAAAAATGAATTTGGTGGGTAGAGCACTGAGAATTGTTTTTAGAAAATAGCATGAAAAGATATGGAAGGGAGAGCATATTAGAGAAAACAAGAGAAAATGTTCCAGGGGCTCCTGTATAAAATGGCTTAAAGGTCTTGCCTTCTAAGGAGAACCTGGGTTGCTTGTGCAGGATGATACAGTTTTGCAGTGGGCCCAGCTTCACTGTGTACCAGCAGTATGACTTTGGGCAGTGGGTTGACTTTTAGGGGCCTCAGTTGCCTTATTAACAAGAATGAACATGAGGACTTCAAAGCCTTGTTGCAAGGACCCCATGGGCCAATGCCCAGGGCTACATTAGCAGGGTGGGTACTGCATCCTTCCACACACTTTCAGTGTTTTCTTGGTCAGCCCTATCGCAATGCCTTTCTTAGTGTGAAGGCTTCCTTGAAACTAACCAAGGAAATCTGGGTGAGGTTTTCTCCCTGGACTTGTATTGCTCAACCCCTCAGCAAAAGCAGAGAAACTCATTTCACTACTGAGAAACCGGCCCAGTGTGGAAATGAAAACTTCATTCAATTCATAAGAGTTGGCCTGTGTGAAAACAGGACATAGCCATCAGACACCAGTGCCCAATTTTACTAAAACCAAAATTTTCTATAGGTGGGCTAAAGTGAAATGTACATTATAGTACCCAAGCCTCACTAGGTTCCTCCTTATACATTTACTAAATAGCATACATTTGACAGTGGTAGTGTGTTGGGGTGTTGTAGAAAGGATGAGTATTATAACGTCCTAAATTATAGTGACACCACATTGCATAAATTACATGAATTCAAGATTATGTGACATATAATATTTTGAGCCTCTCTTAATGTACAAAATTTGAAATAATGTAACCTCCTCCTACCCAATTAAATTTTGTTGGCAATCACATAATTTAATCTCAGCATAAAGAAGGCAAGTGAACTGTAAACAGAGTTTACAGTAGGGCTACATGGGAACGCTCATTTAGCTGGCAAACAAACACCCTCCCATTTTTGGCTGATATTATTCTTTGAATAGGTGAATTTTGAATTATATAAGAACATATTTCTCCAATAAAGTATGACCTCTCTGTGTATGTTTCTCATTTATCATTTAAGAACCAAAAATCCAGGCAGATTCCTGAAGCTTGCAGACTGCTGGGAACCAGCAACACAGAACATTGTTTTAGAAAGAGGAAAGCGAAGACTTTGCTTTATAAGGTATGGCCTAAGTCTGGTGGGTAGATAGCATTTCACGCATCTCATCTGTCAGGGACGCACATCCATGGGGTGGACATTGATCTCATTACCCAGGGAATGCTCAGGACCTCAGACCTTCTCCTACGTTTCTGTGTCTCTCTTTAGGCTCTTGCAGTCACTGCTAGAGGATTCTCAAACTCACAGGAACATTTGGAAACCACTGTAAGCTTTCACAAAGTGCTTTCATATACTTTAATATAGATTGCTCTTGGTATCTATGATAAGTTTGTGAGATATGTAAGATGGGGAAACTAAGATGCAATGAGAATAAGAGTGTTGCAAAAAGTCACAAAACTCAGTAGTATGAGACCCAGTCATCAGATCCCAGCAGAAGCTCATGACATCATGCCAAGTTCTGTTTGTACTTTGGAAATAGTCTAAAAGGAGATGGTCATTTCTCCACTCAGTGTTAGGATCATCACTCAGGGTTAAGGTGAATAAAACTTACTCACCCTCACACCATTGACTGTATGGGTCTGCTGTTTTTGGCTACACAGTGTCCATCCTTGTAGGGACCCACCCTCCTCCATTGGATATAGCCTGGTGGGACAGTTGATGGAAGTATCCTACTCTCTCCTTCCAAGGATGAACTTTTGAGTAAATAGGTCATTGAATGCTCCCTTCCAGGAATCTTAATTTAAACCAAGGATTGAGTAGAATGAAAATGCTTGGGGCTCACTCAGGGAGCCTTTGCACACTGATGCTGCTGCAAAATAATTCCTGTAAACTAGAAATGCCTTGATTCTTGCCCTTTTCCAAGGCTTCTTCTTCAGCCTCCCACTGATTCTGTAAGCAATCCCATTCCTTCCAACACATTTCTGCTTGGTTACATTAGCCAAAATCCATTTTTGTTACTTGCAATCAAAGAAACCTAGCTTGGAACCCAACTAAGTCTACATCTTTGCATTTACATAGTGCCAAAAGAATAAAAAGGATGAGATTTCCAGTGTGTGAATGTGTGTGTGTATACATCTACATGCTTTTATTCTCAGAAGTGTACACCTCATGCCCAAGAGAAAATGCTTTGCAACTTTTATGATATCTTGTACAACTACTAAAAAAATATTTTGTTAAATGTTTATGAGCTAAATAGGATTTAAGATTGCTGTTGTTGAAATGAAAGAGAAGTTTGGCTTAATTTAATGTCTGTTTAGTATTTGTTACCTTGAACAATTATTTTCCTTCTTCATTTATTTTTTCACAACCAAACTCAATTATATGTCTGTGATGATTGGATTATATAGTTGTGTTCACAGATGTCATATTATTCCAATGATTTCTAGTCTTCTGGTAATGCACTAGGCCTACCTGTTGTGTGTTTTGAACAGCAATAGCAACAACAAATGAATGAAAATATTCCCTTTGACTTTGCAAAGACTGAAGCAATTACCCAGAAGTTGTGGATCAGAAAACCCCAAGATTTCTGTCAAACTTAAATAAATTGACTTTATTACTTTTCCCCCACTCAATCGCTTACTTTCTTGATGGCATGCTTTTCCCATGATCCCAGTAATTCTAAAGCAATTACATTTCCAAGAAAAGAAATGCAATAAGCAAAGTAAAGTCATAAAATGAGGCTCTGAATGCATTTCTGCCATCTTTGGTTTGATGTTTGATCCTAGAAGATACACACTGAGTGGCAGGGAAATAGATCATTTGTAATCTTTATGATGATGACAGCAACAAATATTGCAAAATGTCCTTCCATGACTGAAGATGCTTGCTGAATTCTCTGTAATTTTCAAAAAAAATATTGTATTAGGTATCAACATATGCACAGCAAGAGACTATCCTCGTCAAGTTTATGATCATGTGCCTAGAGGATTTTAGACTAGAAATGGGCTGGAGTATTTAGTTCCCACAGAGATGATCATATTGATAAACTGCTTCCCCAAGTTTATTGTTAAGGTTTTACCTGAACTTGGATGGATTCATGTGTCTTTGTTTACACAACATTTTGGGAAATATAATACATAAATTGTGGTTACAGAAGGAAAGAAGGAGGAAGTGAGGGAAGCAAGAAGGGACGAAGGGAGGGACGAAGGGAGGGAGGAAGGGAGGGAGGAAGGGAGGAGGGAGGGAGGGAGGAAGGAAGGAAGGAAGGGAGGGAGGGAGGGAGGGAGAGAGGGGAGAGAAAACTACCATCTTCTATTTCAACTTATGATGTGTAGGCTAGGCAATTACACATTATCACTAAAAAAACTCAATCCCACAAGACTTCTCCATCACTCAGCCCCTACCATATTCTCTCCGCTGATTTATATCAGTTATTTTCTTTTCTCAATATACAAACATATGTTAATATTATCCCATAAAGAGCATCATTTAGGAAAGCAAATATCAGTCATTGTACAGGATAGACACAGCTCAGCGGAAAAGGATTTTAAACTTTGGTTTTGGGGAATTATCTATGCTGCTCTTTCCTCTCATGGATGCAAATACTAAAAAATTAACTGTATCTACAAAATGTATTTCTGTAAAAGAAGCATACAAGCTTAATTAAGAATTTAACTGTGAATGTTACAGTAAAAGAATTACAATTGTGTCTAATATGAAAGGTTTTAATTTTTCCCCTGTCTAATTTATTCATTATTTAGGTAAAATTATGATAATCAGGTATTAGATGCCATATTACACAAATGAATGGTATGAATGTAGAGTTTTAAAAATGAGCATATATTCCTGCTTTTGATTTTACCAAATTTAGGAAAAGCATAGGTTATACATATTAATGAGGCTATATCACCATTTAAATTTGCCAACTAATCATCATTCTATCATTCTAAATATTCAGTTCTGCATTCAAGCTACCTACATGCCAGCCAGTTTACCAACAGAGTGTATCTTTACTGTCTACAAATGCCAGAAATCTCCCACTCTAAACCCAACACAGATCTGGGCAGGCACCATTGCCTCAGGGGAGGCTCCCCACCCTTCCTTGCCTTGGATTTGAGAATCGTCTTTCATGCTTTCAGAGCAAGCTGTCCCTCCTCTACAAAGAACTCACCATCCTGTAGTGAAAGGCTGTTTCTGATGGCAGACTATGAATTCAGAATGCAATGGCCATGTCTCCTCCCTGCTGTAGCCCAGTGCCTGGTCAAAATGTTCATTAGATGTAGGAGTTGTCAAAGGAATGGGTGGATGGACGCAACAAATATTGAATATGTATTAGATGTTGTATCTCTGGGGATATGGCTATAAACAAGATAGGATCCCAGCCCTTAAAAAGCTTACATTCTATTAAAGGGCTGCTCTCATCTGTTTTTGTAAGATTCCAAGATTTGTGCCTAAGAGAGGGGAACCGCCCTTTCATGACTCTTGCACCATTTTTAACCCAGTATCTCTAAACTGAAGCTTTTAATACAAGGTCAATAACAATGAAGTACTACTCTTACTTCCCACATATCATTTTTTTGTAATTCAGCCTTCCTTGGGCCCCTCTGAGAGAAGAGAAGTGGCTGGGCTAAGGCAGGGTCTGGCATTTCTGGGTTCCTGATCAAATTCTTGTCTTCTGGAAGCCATCCTACCCTAGCTTTGGCAATTGGCCCTCATATAATTCTCTGTCTGGGTTCCTGTCTTGGTAATTCATTTCCTATCATTCAACTGTGTAATGTGAGAAATGCTCTCTGATTATCACCTTGTGTCTATATACCATATAAACCAGCACTTAGGATAGCTGTACCATGAGAATTGAATCTTGTCCATTGTTCGCTCATCCTTTTTTCAATATAGCTGGACATATTCCTCAGAGCTTGACACATTTCCTGCAGTAACAACCTGTCATTGCCCACCCTATGCTACTCTAACCCCATTTTATTCTTTATACGGTGGCCAGAATTACCCTTTACAGAATATGTAGATCACAGCACCCCACTCCCTGACTCAAAACTCTATGAAGACTTCCCACCACACTTGAACAGTCCTTACCCCACCGTATGAACCCTCACATGAGCCAACTCCATTCTCATTCTTGAGTCTTTTTTCCTCACCATCAGCCCTTTCCTCCAACACTGGCCTGGCCTTGCTACTCCCAGAATATACAAAGCCTGTTGCCATCTTCAGGTTCCTTCTGCCAAAAACACCCTTTCCTTAGATATTCCTATGTTGGCTTAATTCAGTCGCTTCTCAAATATCATTTCCTTAGAAAGACCTCTCCTTGTTAATGCATCAAAAACAGCCCTTGCCACATTCTATCTGCTTTCTGACATCATTTTTCTCAAATCACTTACGTTATGTGTTTATTTGCTTATTGTCTGTCTTCTCTCCTAGAATGTAGACTCCATTAGTGAAAGCACTTGGATTTGTTCACCTCTCTACCCCAGGGCCTAGAACAGTGTCTGGCATGAAGTAGGTACTCAGTAGTTTATGAAATAAATGAACATATTTTCTTGGCACCAAACTGCCTAATTGCCCTTCAGAGTGTCATCTCTTCCTGAGTTACCAACAACATGTTCTCCCACATTAACCCAAGTAAATGCCCTCATAGCACAACTAATTGTCTAGATTTGTACTACTGTCCATCTAGCCCCCATGAGCTACATGTCCCACTTGAAATGTGGCTGGTCCTAATTGAGATGTGCTGTCAATGTGGCATACACACCAGATTTTGAAAGCTTAACATGAAGAAGTCAGTGTGGGGATTCCTCAGGGATCTAGAACTAGAAATACCATTTGACCCAGCCATCCCATTGCTGGGTATATACCCAAAGGACTATAAATCATGCTGCTATAAAGACACATGCACACATATGTTTATTGCGGCACTATTCACAATAGCAAAGACTTGGAACCAACCCAAATGTCCAACAATGATAGACTGGATTAAGAAAGTGTGGCACATATACACCATGGAATACTAGGCAGCCATAAAATATGATGAGTTCATGTCCTTTGTAGGGACATGGATGAAATTGGAAATCATCATTCTCAGTAAACTATCGCAAGAACAAAAAACCAAACACTGCATATTCTCACTCATAGGTAGGAATTGAACAATGAGAACACATGGACACAGGAAGGGGAACATCACACTCTGGGGACTGTGGTGGGGTGGGGGGAGGGGGGAGGGATAGCATTAGGAGATATACCTAATGCTAAATGACGAGTTAATGGGTGCAGCACACCAGCATGGCACATGTATACATATGTAACTAACCTGCACATTGTGCACATGTACCCTAAAACTTAAAGTATAATAATAATAAAAAAAAATTTTAAAAAGATCTTATGTTAGAAAAAAAAAGAAAAAAGAAAACTTAGCATGAAGAAAATAATGTAAAATAGCTTCTTGAGATTTTTTAATTGACTGCATGTTTAAATGATAATAATTTGGTTATGTTAGGTTAAATATCATTAAAATTAGTTTCATCTGTTCTTTTTATCTTTTTAATATGGCTATTAGAAAATTTAAAATGACATATGTGGTTCACATTTGTGGCTTGTCTTATATTTCCATTGAATGGTGCTGTTCTGACAAAGACTATTCTATAATCCAGAGACACAGCGTATAAAGCAGAAAGGGCATGGGCTTTGTGTCAGATAAATAGGTGGCAATTCTGGCCTTTCCCACACTAGCCCTGTGACTGTGAGCAGGATATGCAAATTTGCTGAACCCCAGCTGCTCGTTTGTTCAGTGTGTGTAACGGAAGTTACTTTGGAGGGCAGTCTTGAGAAGGAATGAAATGACATGCAGGAAGGTCTGGTGTTCAGCCATTCAGAAAATTCTGCTCCTTCCCATTCTTTCATTGACTACAGAATATTGCTCTCCAGATGTCAGTCACACCCTTTCAGTCTACACCCTAAATTTCCTGTGTTATGAGCTATGGAGAGAATGAAGCATTTGTGTAGTCATTTGTCAAGCATGCTGGAGTACCAACTCTGTGTGAGGAATTGGGCTGGGGGCTGGAAGCAAGGAAAATGATTTTTAAAACTCCCAGGCACAGTGAAGAAGAAGGTTCTTGCAGTGTCCTTGGTGATGCTGGGCAACAGAGCCAACCTCGTGCCTATGCTCTCTTCCAAGCACCAGCCTGAGGCTCTTCTGCAACTTCTCTGGCCTTCTCCAATCCTGCCAAGCACAGCCTACTCATTCTAGGCCTGTGGTGTGGCTCTGAAGGGCTACGCCTCAGAATCTGCTGGAAAGCTGAATATATAAATAAGCAAAAGCCAAGGTTTCCCAACCCCCTACCTGGAGGTGTTGGGTAAGACCTAAAAATGTGCATGTTTGGAAGTTCCATAAGAGATTCTGATGTGTATAAAATCAGGATTAAGAATCCCAGGAAGGGTGTTCATAAATTATGCATTAGCATTTTTATTTTGACCTCCGCATGAATTGGACTCCCTTATGGAAACCACAGAGCCTCCCTGAACTTCAGGTTCTTTATCTAATCTGACACCTATAAATAGGGCAGCTATCAGGATTGAGTGGCATAACGCATGGGAAGCCCTTCCATGCCCAAATGGACTCCATGAATAGTAGGCATTTCAAGATTATTAACCCATTTATACCTGAGGTTGCAATTTTTTGAATTTTTGCAATCAGACCTTGGCGATGACCTTGAGCAATAGGATATAAATAACTCCCACATGCTTTGCGTTCCAATAATGGGAACACTAGGTGTAAATGGGTTTTAAGAAATCAAAGAAGGGCCAATGGTGCTAAAAGGAAAGAGAGCTTCTCTATTGTCATTGCCTCTTATATCTGACATTTTTTACTTTTCTCCAAATTTCAAGCCATCCATTTTCTTTACTAGGTTTTATATTTTTAGAGAAGTTTTAGTTCACAGCAAAATTGAGTGGAAATTACAGAGTTCCCATATACACCCTGTACTCACATCTGCACAACCTCCCCCCACCACAACGTTATCAACATCCCCCACCAGAGTGGTACATTTGTTACAATCCATGAACTTCCATTAACACATTATTATCACCCAAAGTCCATTACCATGAGGTTTACCCTTGAGGTTGTACATTCTGTGGGTTTGGACAAATGTGTAATGACAAGTATCCACTGTTTCAGTACCATCCAGAGTAGTTTCATTACCCTAAGTGCCCTCTGTTCCTACTCCCTCCAACCCCTGGAAACTACTGGTCTTTTTACTGTCTCCACAGTTTCACCTTTTCCAAAGTGTAACATAGTTAGAATCATACAGTATGTAACCTTTTCAGAATGGCTTCTTTCCCTTAGTAATATGCATTTAAACTTTCTCTATGTCTTTTCATGGCTTAACAGATCATTTCTTTTTGTACTGAATATTTATCTATTCATCTATTAAGGGAAGTCTTGGTTACTTCCAAATTTTGGGACTTAAGAATAAAGATGCTATAAACATCTGCATGCAGGTGTTTGTGTAGACATACGTTTTCAACTCCTTTGGGAAAATATCAAGGAGTGAAATTGCTGGAGTGTATGATAAAAGTATGTTTAGTTTTGTAGGAAACTATCAAACCATCTTTCAAAGTGACAGTACCATTTTGCAATTCCACTAGCAATGAATAAGAGCTCCTGTTGCCCTGCATCCTCACCAACATTTGGTGTTATCAGTGTCATGGACTTAGGCCATTCTAATAAGTACATAGTGGTATCTAATTGTCATTTTAATTTGCAATTCCAGTTGCCTAATGACATGCCACATCAAGCATCTTTTCATATGCTTCTTTGCTATCTGTGTATCTTCTTTGACATTCAGGTATTTTGACTATTTTTTAATTGGGTTACTTGTTTTCTTATTGTTGAGTTTTAAGTTATTTTGTGTGTGAACTTTCGATAACAGTCCTTTACAGCTGTCATTTGCAAACATATTCTCCCAGTCTGTGTCGTGTTTTCTAATACTTTTGAAATCTATCTAGTTTTTGTTAGTTACTCTTAAGCATCTAGGACAGGTATTCTAAGTTCTGGCCTGGCTGGACATTTTGTATTTGTGCAACAGAGCAATTACTACCAAAGGTCCAATTGAAATGTCAATATTTTAGTTAAGACTAATGAAGACCTGTCTCCTGTGGACAGTGGTTCTCCTTTTCCCATGCTGTGCAGATTTTCACTTTCCACTTGAAATGTGACCTTCCCCAAACACCCTCACTCAGCACCTTCCCATAGAGACCCACGTTGACTGGAACAGGATTTCTCAACCGTGCCATAGGAGACAAGCACCAAAGAGTCGGTCAGAAGCTACCCTGGATGGCTTAATTTGGGGATTTTTTTTGTTCACAAAGTAGACAGCTCTGAAGTTTTTTTTTCTAACTTCCCTGGAGATTTCAGACAGTATTTGGAGCACATCTGGCATTTCACTTCATCTTGAGAGTGAGCTGAGACCCAGCCTCTCTCTCAATGCCTGGTCCTGGGGTTTGGCCAGGAACCCATTGAGCTGAAGAGAGAAGAGGGAAAAATTACAGAATGCTTCTGAGATTCACACAGAGACCCTTCTCTATTATCAGAAATGTCAGCAGAGTTCCCAGGAGAATCAGGTGGTCTCACCATCCAACTATATTTTTATGTTTTTATAATCACAGAGAGATTTCTTCATCGTGTTGTATAGCAATTTCTTGAAAAGTCTTTTCTCCCTGCCTTCCCCTAAAGTTCTTCCCCATAATGGAGGTGTAAAAAAAACAATCAAGTGCTTTGTTTATTTCTTAAACCCAGTGTCTAAACCTAATGTTAATTATTGAGTAACAGCTTCACCTGGTGAGGGAAAAATAAACACACACACAGGAAGTCATCCAGTTTTTATTCTGAAAACAATACAGGTAACAAATCACAACTGTATTGTTTTCCCTGGGATGCTAACACAGATGTAACAAATGTGACAGAAGGAACAAATCACTATTGAAATCGCTAAAGCATTCAATCAAATAATTTTTCCAGACCACAAAATATCCTATTATGTGATGGTGACAAGTGCCCTTCAGAAGCCTTTAGTGCCTTCCAAGTTTCTCTGTGTAGCAGCATGAAGTGACTAGTCAGCAGGTACACCACATGGCTGTGAAAACCGCCCAGCTTTACACAACCAGGGAGAGTAACCATCTCCTTAACATTCTCATATCTGACGCTTAGTTTCCCCATTCAGATTTTCTTGGCTTAATGTCCTTATGTGACTAGTTTTCATTAGCCATTTCACAAATCTCTTTCCTCTTGCTCTTTTATTTTCTTCTATGGCTTTGGAGAGGGGTGGGGAATGGCAGATTTTCTAGAACTCCAATCTTTTGACTTAATTTATGTTTCCTACTTGAAAGAGTCCATTTCAGCAGGAGGCCCAAAGGGCTGACGTGGTTTCCCAGTCCAGATCAGAAAAGCCCCGCAAGATTTGACTTCATGAGCACTCGATACAGACAGGTCTACTCTCTTGCCCATTCAAGGGCAATTATCACAGATTTTAAATGTTGGACCTATTTTTAGGGCTCTTTCACTTAACATTAAGTAGATGGCCAATAAAAGGGATAATAAAAGGGATTTAATATTTAAAAGGGTCAATAGGTAATTTCTTAGGCCTTAAAGGAGACAGTAGCATAAAAATTATGAACTTGTTTGGATACACTTAGTTTAATTTCTATGTAGCTTCTTCAGAGCGTAGAACTTACTTATTGGGGTTGGAAACTACATTGGAGAGAAAACTGTACATATCCTAATGTCATTTTTTAAAAAATAATTTCATTTGGATTGAAATATTGTGTTTTTTAAGAGGAAAGGTGTTTTGTGTTTGTTAATAAATAGGTCAAAGAATAAACACAAGGAAGAAATGCAGAATTGCAGGACTGTACTCTGTTCTCATGAGCCACTTATTCTTTGATTGGATATAAAGGGCAAATTGGTTGGATATTAAATTCAGTGTGTACAAAACACAACAGGAGAGCTGTGTCCATCCTCACATCTCCGGCCTGACTTGGGAAGAGAGAGTTAAGTGCCACATTCCCCAGTTGGAAGGCTTTGATCTCAAATGGCCTCATTGCTAGGCCTAAGATGCCTCAACTGGAGGTCAACATGGACATCACTGGACATTGACAGTACAGAAGCTTCTAGACCAAAAGGAAAGTCATCAGAATTAACATAAAATAAACTGATGTATTCATATATATCTCCTTTTGCCATCATAACACCGAAAAAATACTTCTTTAACTGAGGTGGGCAAAATAGGTGATAGTAACTCATTTGACATGTGGGAAAATGAAGATTAAGTAATTTTCTACTAGCTCCCAAGTAGAAGAGGTCCAAATGAAAGTTAACTCCAATTCTATGTTGTCTCCTAACAATTTTAGAAGAGTCAGTTTTCATTGTAAGTATAACCATCCCATTTATCAGAACTTTCTTTCTACCAATATGGAAACATAACGTTTCCACCTTTCTGTCAATTCTGATCCATCGGTAATAGGAGACATCACCAATCAATCACAGCACTCCATCCCACTGGCACAAGACACAACCTGAGAATCCTTCTCTACCTACTTCTCCAAGCAGCCACTTCCTGACTGGGGTGAATGTGTGAGAATTTTTCCACCAGCACCAGAGGAGCTGTGAGGGCATGCATGGCAGGAATTTGACATCCTTGGTGTATCAACTCCTAGGTCATCAGTAATTGTATATATGTAAACAGCTCAACTAATGTCCTCAAATTCAGTCATCCAGTTGCCAAAGTATATTAGACACTGTGGGGAAAAGCAGTAGGGGTCAGGCATAAGTCTTATCTACAAGGCGCCTACATTCTATTAGGGAAGAACACTAAGCTTGGAAAAGCCTGTACTGCAGAGTGGAGAATTCTTAGTACCAGTCATCAGTGCTCTGTTCACAGAAAACCAAAGGAGTTCAGAGAAAGGTAGGATTACCCTCAGCTGAAGGGTGCACAAATAAAACTTCATGGCTTACATTGGAGCTGGGCTCTGCAGACCAGGTATGACTTGACCACGGGAGTGAGGAGGAGAAGGAGGAGAAAGGAATATTCCAGACACATCAAAAAGGCACAGAAGCAGGAAAATATAAGGAGTAGGTGGGAAACAGTGAATAGTTTGGTATTAGACTTGCAAGTGCTTAGGGATGGTAGAAAATAAAACAAAGAGTAAGTATGAGTCAGAGTAGCAGGCACTGTATACCAGGGTAAGGATTTGGAGATATATTTTATGGGCAATGGGGAGTTAATGATGGCTTTGAGAAGATGGGCGCTGTGATGAAACCTGGGCAAAGGAACAAGGTCATGAGCATCATGGAGAATCAGCTGAGTGGAAACAGGCCTGAAGCTCAAAGGGCATTGCAGAGGAGAATTGCAACTCCCAGCCTCACGTTGGAAAACTTTAGTGCCTCTTTTAGATAGTACAGCTGTAAGAGAAATAAATACTTCTGACCAGCTTTAGTACCTGCTTCTCTCTCCTGTATTCAGATTCTGTGTTGACCTGACCTGGAGGGATCTGGCTGCCACTTAAGGGAAGATAAAATACGACCAGCCCAGTAATGGAAACCAGCAGCACAAATGCAACTTGCTTCCTCAGCTACAGAAAAAAAAATACATCAAGAATTCTCTCTGCTTCACCTGAGCGGGAGTCCAATTTATCTGCCAGCTCAGGGCTTCACTATCTTTATGGAGCAGGGGAGGGAGAAAGAGGAAGAAGAGAAACAGGAAGAGGAGAAAGGTCAGGGCAAGGCACAGAAGTGTTTCACCCCAGAGAACTTAGGGGCAGAGGACAAGCTCCAGAGAACTGGCAACCAGCATTTACTGAACAATTTTAGACTACAGGTGTTTATCAGTGTTATCTCATTTAATCTTCAAAACGACATCATGGACAGAATACTATTATCTTGACATTACAGATAAAGAAATCCAAACTCAGAGTCAGTGAAACCAAACAGAACCAGCTGAGAATTTTTCAAGAGCAAAGTTGCTTTCCAAATATTCTAAATCCAAGTGGCTAGTGAGCAAGGTAGGTCTCAGCACAGCTCCACATGGCTCTTTGGACATATTTTTTCCACCGCACAAGTCAACCTCTTAACCTCAAATACCTGCCCTTGTTGAGGTCCAGTTATGACCAGGAGTGGGCACAGAGGCTTTCATTATCCTTCATTTCCTTGTTTTTATTCATTCCCTTAGCTCTCTTGTCTATATTGATTTGGATTTTTTGGCCTTTTTTGAACAATTGTGTTTATTTCCAAGGAATTTTCCAGCTAAGCATCAAAATGACTCGTCAAGCTTGGCTCCTGTGTCAGCTGCTTGACACGCGATAGCAGCTCTGCTCTTCCCTGGAAGATCTTTTCGAGCCACTGATGCCTCCCTTTCTCGTCCAGATTTCTGACATGAGTGTGACAGCTGTGTGCACCACTCTATTTCATTTCTGTGTTTTACTTTCCACTCTAGCACACTAAGTTTCATGAATCCATTTCTTGGTGTGCTCAGTAAAGCCCTCCATGGAAACTCTGGCAACACACGCTTATTGCTGTGATTTACTGCTTGTCTCCTACATTTTGTAGATGCCAAAGGATAGATCACTATTGCTAAAATATTAATGCTGAGTCCCAGGGGAGAATAACTCAGAGGACAGTGGGCAGGAAAATGGTAACGTGAGCTAGGGGAATAAATAGAGTCAGGGAACAACAGGCCAACTGTGGACTCAGAAGCCCACACAACAGGCATCAACCATACGGACAAGGGATTTTCTTTTTGTTGTTATTGTGGTGGTTAATTCAATCCTATCCTAGTAGCCCTTAACCTACGGCAACAAAGTGCTCCTTGCCTTGCAACTTTTAGATTTTCTTGAGCTCAGGAAGATAATTCTCTGTAAGGTCTGCAATGGGAAAATTTTGATGAAAGGCTACTGGGGTCAAAATAAAAGGGCATTGCATGCTTAACCACGAGATAACTTGTTTGTGGCATGGATCTTCAACACCATGATGTAATAAGGGCCACGGAAGTCTGAGTCTTTTTGGTTTTCTCCAAAATTGAATTATCTTCATTGATTTCTTTTCTGAGTTATAAAATTAATTCATGCCCGTTGCAAAAATTTCAGAATTATATACATTATATACGTCCTCTCCACTCCGTAAAATAACCTTGGTTAGGAGTGAAATAAATATTCTTAGTAGTAGGTTAGGAATGCAAAATGTATTTTTTAACACAAAGGGATACATACCATAACTAATGCACTATAATCTGCTTTCTTCTGTTTGGCTCTATATCATGGTCATATCTCTATATCAAAACAGTAGTCTTCCAGTTAACGATAACAAAGTAAAGATATGTAATTCCACATTTCTCCTTCTAAACCCAGAAAAGCAATTTGAAAAAGTAAAAATAGAAGGAAAGTATATCCCCATAGTAATGACAGAGGTAGATAAAGAAAATTCCAAATCACACGCTGTGAACCACAAACCACAAACTCTGTCATGTGCTTTGTAACCTGACCCCAAATGAGAAAAGTCACTGACAGCTACACGTAGCCTTCATAGAAATTTAGGCAGGATATAGAATTCCTTCAATATGCAAATGACCTAGTCTAAAATGGTCAATGCAATAATTCATTGATGGAAACAATGAGATATAGAGACATAGGCAAGCCAAAGGAGAAGTGAGGTGCCTCAGTCTGTTCCCACTGCTATAACAAAATATCATAGACTAGGTAATTTATAAAGAACAGAAATTTACTTCTTACAGGTCTGAAGGCTGAGAAGTCCAAGATCAAGGCAACAGCAGGTTCACAGTCTGGTAAGGGCTGCTCTCTTCTTCCAAGACGGTACCTTCTTGCTATGTCCTCAGATGGCAAAAGGTGGAGAGGCAAAAAGAGACCTTGCTACTTCCCTCCAGCCCTTTTATAAGAGCACTAATCCATCCACAAGAGAAGAAACCTCTTGACCTAATCACCTCCAAAAGGCCACACATTTTACTACTGTTGCATTGGGGGTTAAGTTGCAACATGAATTTTGGAGGAGAAAAGAACACTCAAACCACAGCATGGGACTGTCACTGCATAGTCCTATTCTTTCCCACAGCAGGAAAGCTAAGTAGGTAGAGCTCAAGAAGGCGCACGCCGTTTATATTATCCAAAACCCAAGCTTACAAACAATGTTGCTTGCTGACCTGATTTGCCCATTTTATGCCTACCATCCTAGTGCAATTATAAATAGAAGCCCCTTCCATATAAGGGCAGTGTGATCATTTGAACAATAAATTTTATGGCCTCTGTATTTACTACTAAAAGGGATTGCTGAAGATAAGGTGGGAAAAACAGAGGAAGGATAGCGGTAGTCACTGGATTACAAGCAGGGGATTTTGTAACTTTTAAGGGTTACTTTCTGAGCCACAGAAACACTCAAAATACTGAAACCCACATGGTGATATCACGCTGGGCAGAGAACACAGGAGTGAAACCTGAATTGAAGCCATTATAATTTACCCTCTCCATACATCACTTTGCATTCTTATTTATAAGCCAATACTTCATTTTATTTGAATTACTAAGTTATTCAATTACTTAGTTAAATTACTTGATGATTAGTAATAATCAAAAAGGATGCAACAGAAACAAATATATAGGTAATTGGTGGGGAGGGCTGGAGAGGATGAAGAAAACACCATCAACAAAAAAGAGATGAAGAAATACACATTAAAAGAAATTGCCCCCATGGTCTCAAATACATGATGTCTGCAATAAAAATAACTCAAGGTAGAAATTCAAGATGTTTCAGTTATTTATTGCTGTATAATAAAATATCCCAAAGTAGCTTAAAATTTTACTTTCTTACAAATCTGCAATTTGGACAGAGCTTAAGGAGGACCATTTACACCCCATATAACATTTGCATAGATGGCTCAACTAATTCACTGATGAGTATCACTCAGATGGCTGGCAACTCAGTGCGGAAGGTAAGCTGAGAGCTCAGCTAGGCGTGTTGCATGGGTTCCTTGGTTCCCACCCACATGGCTTTTCCACCTGGATAGTTTGGGCTTCCTCGCTGCACGGTGGTCTTAAGATAGTTGGACTTGTGTGAGAGACTACTTCCAAGAATTCGGAAGTGGAAGCTGCCCAGACCTGACATAGTATTGCTTCCGGCACATTTTACTGCTTAAAGTGGGCGACAGAGCCAACCCAAATTCAAAGACAGGGGACTAAACTAGAGCATAAATACTGGAAGGCATGGCTCATTAGGAGTCACTAAAATAAGAGTTTATTGTCATGTACCTTTGATCTCCCTCCCACATGCAAAATATACCCCTCTAACTCCCAAGAACCACCAGGACCTCATCTCATCCATTACAGTCTCAGATTCTGTTTTGGAGTCCAGAGTATCGTCATTTAAATCATTTTCAGATATGACTGAAGCTCCTCAGGTACAGCTCTTTATCTGAAGGCATGTGACCTAAAGAGGCAAGTTTCTAACTACCCCAACACGCTCTCAATACACAACGTGAGATGAGAATGGGTCAGAAACACTACAATAGACACTCTCATTCAACAGTGAGGACAATAGAAGGTACATAATCATCAGAGGTTCACAGCAATTCTGAAATTCAACTGGGCACATATCACAGATTCCTTGATCAGGACCCAGTTCTGCCATAATCTTTGATCATTTCCCATTTCTCTTGGCTTTAAGCGCTGTGCTTTAGCTGTTTCCTTAGAGTCATTCTTTCTTTTAACCCACATAAAAAGTTCCATGTGTACAGATGAGTCGTTTTCTCAAACTTCTTTTTACTCAAAGTAAGTTAGAGGTCTGGAGGCCTCATTTTATTCTGAACTATTTCTGCTATCTTTTAGTATAAGCTGATATAATCCCTTTAAAAATTCTGTGGCATTCCTAGGTATCAAGTTATAATTTACTCCATTAGACAAAAGCAATACCCACAAAGTCTATCTCTACTTTCTGACTGTGAGTCAAAGTGCTATAAGATAAGACTCGAGATTTTTAAAACTCCCATCGTCTAGCTGAGGGGTTCTACAAATCATGCACTTAAGATTATTACAAGTCCTTTTTTTTGATGAGAAAGGGTCTGTGAGACATCACCTTATATCTTTCTAACGTCTTAACAAATGATTTTATAGGTTCTTGAATGCAAAGCCACATTTTACAGGCAGTGTTCTGTTATCTTATATTTGCCCTGAGACTATGACTTAGGTTGAGAAATTTCTCCTGACTAATAATATTGGAATGAGAAATAGTTTTATTTGCTAAGCCAACAAGTTCTACGATGGAAATACTTCTTCTAAATTATGCTTAAAAAATAAAATAGTTCCTTCTTTAGTTTCTCTCTTCCTGACTGTACTTATAAGTAGCTCAAAGAACCAGGTGGCGCTTTCAATATCCGTGGTGCTTTCAATATCCTGTCTGGAAATAACTTAGGTAGATACATAAGTTAATTAGATATTTATATTTTTCCAAGTTGCTACAGGAGCTAGTCTCATCAACTGTTCTGCTAATGTACAACATAACCTTTCTTTTATGAAACTTTCAATAGTGTTCTCTTCCCTTTGCTTCAAGCCTCCACTGACAGTCACCCCAGGACCTTTCTGGCCTCTGCCCAATGCCAGATTCCAAGCAAAAGCCCTTTAGAAAAAGTTCCAACAGGTCAAGCCCCAAGGTGCAAAAATATTTTCTTGAAATAAAAATCTAAATCTATAGTCAAAAGGACATAACTCAGGAAAAAGTAATACAAAAAGAACTATAGTAAGAAATATCCTGAAAAGCTGCTAAACTTCAAAGATATACCCAAAGAATTCTATGGACATATAGGCCAATAAGTAGTTCATATACAAAGGGGAAATATTAGAATGTCTTCGGATTCCTCCATAGTAACATTACATGATAAAAGGCAGTACAGCAATATATGAAAAGTTCTGAGGAAATTTCATATCTAGCCAAGTTTACTACAAGTACAAGGCTAAACACAGAAACTCATAAGCCTTAAGGACTCAGAGAACATTCCCCCTATGAGTCTTTATGGGGAGGGGGTAATTGATGATAAATTCAACCAAACAAAATACAATTTAAAATGAAGAACTCAAAAATGGGTAAGTTGTGTTAAAATAACAGTGAGAACTAAATTCAGTTCAACATAGAATTAAGACAGGACACCATCATGAACTGTGGCTACAGCAAAAATCAATGTCATACATCTTAACAATGGGTAAATAAAATTATAAGACAGTGGGGGAAGAACAAGTTGGCAAGAGGTAAAAGTATGATCAACTTTCTTATCTTTCAGACTAGAGAGTCTATAAATGCTGTTTGATATACATAGTTAAAAAACAATTTCTTCAAACTCTTAAGGTTTCTCCCATATTTTAAAAGGCAAAGTATCATTAAAAACTGTAGTTCTTCTTACCTGAAGTAATACAACATTTTAAGATAATTTTTCGGCTGTTAAATTCAAATGACTTACATTTAACACATTTCATTTAAAATTTTATATATATATATATATATATATATAGAGAGAGAGAGAGAGAGAGAGAGAGAGAGAGAGAGAGAGAGTGTGTGTGTGTGTGTGTGTGTGTGTGTGTGTGTGTTTGGCCATTATGGAGTTAAAGGACCATACTTAACTTCCTATAATAATCACCTAGAAAACTGAGCAAAATATGTACAATAACTATTTCCAGACAGTTAAAAATAGGTAACACAGATTGTGATTCCTGAGGGGAGGAAAGCAAGTGAGATAATCTCTAAAATTGGTCTGGTTTTCTGCCTGAAGTGATAAAACAAAAATCAGAGATTAAGAAGGATGAAATGGCTGGGACTTGTGGGGCAAATTTCCAGAAAAGATGAAGCTACCCAGTAAAAGAGCTCTAGAAATCTGCATGAGGGTTACCTTAAGTAGCCCCTAAGTATAAGGTTGTGCATAGATAGAGTAAAAGTCCACAATCCAGGGCAAAGAGTGACCGATTTGCAAAAGCAGAACAATTTCCAGAGCTCAATAGGGTTGGGAGGCATTCAAACTTTGGTGAGTCAGTGTAGAATGTCCACAGTGGCCATGTGGGGTATTCTGTGGACACCCCAGAGGGGTCGTGATTTACTCTAGGCATGATTTGTTCATGCCTAGAGTAAAGCCTACTCTAGACTACTCCTCACAAAGTTTGTTTTTTTGGTTTTTTTTTTTTTGTTTTTTTTTTTTGAGACAGTCTCACTCTGTCGCCCAGGCTGGAGTGCAGTGACGCGGTCTCCACTCACTGCCCCCTCCACCTCTCAGGTTCAAGTAATCCTCCTGCCTCAGCCTCCCAAGTAGATGGGATTACAGGTGTGTGCTCCCATGCCTGGCTAATTGTTGTATTTTTCGTAGAAACGGGATTTCACCATGTTGGCCACTCCTGACCTCAAGTGATCCACCCACCTTGGCCTCCCAAAGTGCTGGGATTATAGGCATGAGCCACTGCGCCCAGCCTTCACAAAGTTTAAAAAGATAATTAAATAAGCTTAAACTGACAGAAAAATACATGTCCCCCAATATGAAGTTCAAAACTCCTTAAAGTGAGACAACAAAATTCAGACACTCAACTATGTAGTATTCACAATGTTGCAGCATCCAATAAAAAAAACTTGTCAGAATAAGAATAAGGACATTGTGATTCATAACCAGGAGAAAACTCAGTCAATAAAAAGAGACATACAAATGATAGAGATGATGGAACTCATAGTTAAAAGTTAGAACAACTATTATAACAATACATTCATATTTTATAAAAAGCATGGCCATGGTGAGGAGAGAAATGGAACATATAAAAAGAGTCAAAAGGAACTTTTAGAAATAAAAAAATACAGTATCTGAAGTAAAAATTCCATTAGACAGATTTGGCAACAGATTTGACTCTGCAAAAGAAAACATAGGTAACCTTGAACACATAACAATAGAACATAAAGTAAATGAAGCACAGGAAGTAAAAAGACTAAAAAGATCCTTCATGATTTGTGGAATAACAGAGAGTAATTTTAAATACACATTGTAGGGGTCCTAGAAGGAGGAGCTATGAAAATATTTTAAATATTAAAGGCCAAAAATTTCTCAAATTTAATGAAAAGTGTAAACTTATAGATCCAGAAAATAATGAAAACACATCTTGAAAATGTTGAGGGGAAAACCTACCAGCCTAGAATTTTCTATCCAGTGATAATATTCTTTAGAAGGGAAAGAAAAATAAAAACTTTTTCAAACAAAATCCAAGAAAAGGTCATCACCAGTAGACTTACAGTAGTTTTTCAGATGGAAGAAAAACATCACATGGAAACATGAATCTGCAAAAGACAAAGAATCAGAAATGATCAATATATGGATAAATCTAGGAGGTTTTTTCTCAGTTTTAAAATTCTTTGAAAGATATCAACTATTTAAAGAACACTAATGACAGCATATTTTAGAATTTAAAACATGAGATTAAAATCTATAACAAGATTAGCATGAAAGATGGGGGGCACAGAATAATATTGTTAAAATGGTCACACATTATGTGAAATATATATATACAATGTTATTTTAAAATAAACCATACTAAGTTCAAATGTATATGGTAAACTCTAAACCAATAAAAATAAGTATAACTAATAAGGTAATAGGGAGATAAAATAAAGTATTAAACTTATTTAATATTAAATATAAATACTCAAGTTTAAGGAATGCAGATTTTAAAAGATAGAAAATAGAACAGATAAGCAAATATCAAGACAGCAGTAGATTTAAACTCAAACATGATGATTACATGAAATGTAGATGACCTAAACTCTCCAGTTGAAAGACAGACATTTTTGATTGAATAAAAAAGCAAGACAGTGCTCACGAGGTGGAGCAGAAGGGTAGAGCCAAGACGGCGGAATAGGAACAGCTCCAGTCTACAGGTCCCAGCGTGAGCGATGCAGAAGACAGGTGATTTCTGCATTTCCAACTGAGGTACCAGGTTCATCTCACTGGGGAGTGTCGGACAGTGGGTGCAGGACAGTGGGTGCAGTGCACTGAGCAGGAGCTGAAGCAGGGCGAGGCATTGCCTCACCCAGGAAGCACAAGGGGTCAGGGAATTCCTTTTCCTAGTCAAATAAAGGGGTGACAGATAGCACCTGGAAAATCGGGTCACTCCCACCCTAATACTGCACTTTTCCAATGGTCTTAGCAAACGGCACACCAGGAAATTGCATCCCATGCCTGGCTTGGAGGGTCCTACGCCCACGGAGCCTCGCTCATTTGCTAGCACAGCAGTCTGAGATCAAACTGCAAGGCGGCAGCGAGGCTGGGGGGGTTGCCCACCATTGCCAAGGCTTGAGTAGGTAAACAAAGCGGCCTGAGAGCTTGAACTGGGTGAAGCCCACCACAGCTCAAGGAGGCCTGCCTGCCACTGTAGACTCCACTGTTGGGGGCAGGGCATACCCAAACAAAAGGCAGTAGAAACCTCTGCAGACTTAAATGTCCCTGTCTCACAGCTTTGAAGAGAGTAGTGGTTCTCAGCACGCACCTGGAGATCTGAGAATGGACAGACTGCCTCCTCAAGTGGGTCCCTGACCCCCGAGTAGCCTAACTGGGAAGCATCCCCCCAGCAGGGGCAGACTGACACCCTGCATGGCTGGGCACTCCTCTGAGACAAAACTACAGAGGAACAATCAGGCAGCAACATTTGCTGTTCACTGATATCTGCTGTTCTGCAGCCTCCGCTGCTGATACCCAGGCAAACAGAGTCTGGAGGGGACCTCTAGCAAACTCCAACAGACCTGCAGCTGAGGGTCCTGACTGCTAGAAAGAAGACTAACAAAAAGAAAGGACATCCACACCAAAACCCCATCAGTATGTCACCATCATCAAAGACCAAAGGTAGATAAAACCACAAAGACAGGGAAAAAACAGAGCAGAAAAACTGGAAACTCTAAAAATTAGAGCGCCTCTCCTCCTCCAAAGGAATGCAGCTCCTCACCAGCAATGGAACAAGCTGGATGGAGAATGACTTTGACAAGTTGAGAGAAGAAGGCTTCAGATGATCAAACCACTCTGAGCTAAAGGAGGAAGTTCGAACCCATGGCAAAGAAGTTAAAAACCTTGAAAAAAAAATTACATGAATGGTTAACTAGAATAACCAATAAAGAGAAGTCCTTAAAGGACATGATGGAGCTGAAAACCATGGCAGGGGAGAACTACGTGATGAATGCACAAGCCTCAGTAGCTGATTCGATCAACTGGAGAAAGGGTATCAGTGACAGAAGATCAAATGAATGAAATGAAGTGAGAAGAGAAGTTTAGAGAAAAAAGAATAAAAAGAAACAAACAAAGCCTCCAAGAAATATGGGACTATGTGAAAAGACCAAATCTACGTCTGATTGGTGTATCTGAAAATGATGGGGAGAATGGAACCAAGTTGGAAAACACTCTGCAGGATATTACACAGGAGAACTTCCCCAATCAAGCAAGGCAGGCCAACATTCAAATTCAGGAAATACAGAGAACACCACAAAGATACTCCTCCAGAAGAGCAACTCCAAGACACATAATTGTCAGATTCACCAAAGTTGAAATGAAGGAAAAAATGTTAAGGGCAGCCAGAGAGAAAGGTCGGGTTACCCACAAAGGGAAGCCCATCAGACTAACAGCGGATCTCTCAGCAGAAACTCTACAAGCCAGAAGAGAATGGGAGCCAATATTCAACATTCTTAAAGAAAAGAATTTTCAACCCAGAATTTCATATCCAGCCAAAATAAGCTTCATAAGTGAAGGAGAAATAAAATCCTTTACAGACAAGCAAATGCTGAGAGATTTTGTCACCACCAGGCCTGCCCTAAAAGAGCTCCTGAAGAAAGCACTAAACATGGAAAGGAACAACCAGAACCAGCCACTGCAAAAACATGCCAAATTGTAAAGACCATCGAGGCTAGGAAGAAACTGCATCAACTAACGAGCAAAATAACCAGCTAACATCATAATGACAGGATCAAATTCACACATAACAATATTAACCTTAAATGCAAATGGGCCAAATGGGCTAAATGCTCCAATTAAAAGACAGAGACTGGCAAATTGGATAAAGAGTCAAGACCCATCAGTGTGCTGTATTCAGGAAACCCATCTCACGTGCAGAGACACACGTAGGCTCAAAATAAAGGGATAGAGGAAGATCTACCAAGCAAATGGAAAACAAAAAAAGCAGGGGTTGCAATCCTAGTCTCAGATAAAACAGACTTTAAACCAACAAAGATCAAAAGAGACAAAGAAGGCCATTACATAATGGTAAAGGGATCAATTCAACAAGAAGAGCTAACTATCCTAAATATATATGCACCCAATACAGGAGCACCCAGATGCATAAAGCAAGTCCTTAGAGACCTAGAAAGAGACTTAGACTCCCACACAGTAATAATGGGAGACTTTAACACCCCACTGTCAATATTAGACAGATCGATGAGACAGAAAGTTAACAAGGATATCCAGGAATTGAACTCAGCTCTGCACCAAGTGGACCTAATAGACATCTACAGAACCATCCACCCCAAATCAACAGAATATACAATCTTTTCAGCACCACACCACACCTAGTCCAAAACTGACCACATAGTTGGAAGTAAAGCACTCCTCAGCAAATGTAAAAGAACAGAAATCATAACAAACTGTCTCTCAGACTACACTGCAATCAAACTAGAACTCAGGATTAAGAAACTCACTCAAAACGACTCAACTACATGGAGACTGAACAACCTGCTCCTGATTGACAACTGGGTACATAACAAAATCAAGGCAGAAATGAAGATGTTCTTTGAAACCAATGAGAACAAAGACACAACATACAAGAATCTCTGGGACACATTCAAAGCAGTGTGTAGAGGGAAATTTATAGCACTAAATGCCCACAAGAGAAAGCAGGAAAGATCTAAAATTGACACACTAACATCACAATTAAAAGAACTAGAGAAGCAAGAACAAACACATTCAAAAGCTACCAGAAGGGAAGAAATAACTAAGATCAGAGTAGAACTGAAGGAAATAGAGACACAAAAAACCCTTCAAAAAAATCAATGAATCCAGGAGCTGGTTTTTTGAAAAGATCAACAAAATTGATAGACCGCTAGCAAGACTAATAAAGAAGAAAAGAGAGAAGAATCAAATAGATGCAATAAAAAATGATAAAGGGGATATCACCACCGATCCCACAGAAATACAAACTACCATCAGAGAATACTATAAACACCTCTATGGAAATAAACTAGAAAATCTAGAAGAAATGGATAAATTCCTCAACACATACACCCTCCCAAGCCTAAACCAGGAAGAAGTTGAATCTCTGAAAAGACCAATAACAGGTTCTGAAATTGAGGCAAGAATTAATAGCTCACCAACCAAAAAAAGTGCAGGACCAGATGGATTCACAGCCGAATTCTACCAGAGGTACAAGGAGGAGCTGGTACCATTCCTTCCGAAACTATTTCAATCAATAGAAAAAGGGGGAATCCTCCCTAACTCATTTTATGAGGCCAGCATCATCCTGATACCAAAGCATGACAGAGACACAATGAAAAAAGAGAATTTCAGACCGATATCCCTGATGAACATCAATGCTAAAATCCTCAATAAAACACTGGCAAACTGAATCCAGCAGCACATCGAAAAGCTTATCCACCATGATCAAGTGGGCTTCATCCCTGGGATGCAAGGCTGGCTCAACATATGAAAATCAATAAACGTAATCCAGCATATAAACAGAACCAATGACAAAAACCACATGATTATCTCAATAGATGCAGAAAAGGCCTTTGACAAAATTCAACAGCCCTTCATGCTAAAAACTCTCAATAAATTAGGTATTCATGGGACGTATCTCAAAATAATAAGAGCTATGCTATGACAAACCCACAGCAAATATCATAGTGAATGGGAAAAAACTGGAATCATTTCCTTTGAAAACTGGCACAAGACAGGGATGCCCTCTCTCACCACTCCTATTCAACCTAGTGTTGGAAGTTCTGGCCAGGGCAATTAGGCAGGAGAAGGAAATAAAGGGTATTCAATCAGGAAAAGAGGAAGTCAAATTGTCCCTGTTTGCAGATGACATGATTGTATACATAGAAAATCCCATCATCTCAGCCCAAAATCTCTTTAAGCTGATAGGCAACTTCAGCAAAGTCTCAGGATACAAAATCAATGAGCAAAAATCACAAGCATTCTTATACACCAATAACAGACAATCAGAGAGCCAAATCATGAGTGAATTCCCATTCACAATTGCTTCAAAGAGAATAAAATACCTAGGAATCCAACTTACAAGGGATGTGAAGGACCTCTTCAAGGAGAACTGCAAACCGCTGCTCAGTGAAATAAAAGAGGATAAAAACAAATGAAAGAACATTCCATGCTCATGGGTAGGAAGAATCAATAGCATGAAAATGGCCATACTGCACAAAGTAATTTATAGATTCAGTGCCATCCCCACCAAGCTACCAATGACTTTCTTCACAGAATTGGAAAAATCTACTTTAAAGATCATATGGAACCAAAAAAGAGCGCTCATTGCCAAGTCAATCCTAAGCCAAAAGAACAAAGCTGGAGGCATCACGCCACCTGACTTTGAACTATACTACAAGGCTACAGTAATCAAAACATTATGGTACTGGTACCAAAACAGAGACATAGACCAATGGAACAGAACAGAGCCCTCAGAAATAATGCCACATATCTACAACTATCTGATCTTTGACAAACCTGAGAAAAACAAGAAATGGGGAAAGGATTCCCTATTTAATAAATGGTGCTGGGAAAACTGGCTAGCCATATGTAGAAAGCTGAAACTGGATCTCTTCCTTACACCTTATACAAAAATTAATTCAAGATGGATTAAAGACTTAAATGTTAGACCTGAAACCATAAAAACCCTGCCCTAGAAGAAAATCTAGGCAATACCATTCAGGACATAGGCATGGGCAAGGACTTCATGTCTAAAACACTAAAAGCAATGGCTACAAAAGCCAAAATTGACAAATGGGATCTAATTAAACTAAAGAGCTTCTGCACAGCAAAAGAAACTACCATCAGAGTGAACAGGCAACCTACAGAATGGGAGAAAATTTTTGCAATCTACTCATCTGACAAAGGGCTAATATCCAGAATCTACAATGAACTCAAACAAATTTACAAGAAAAAAACAAACAACCCCATCAAAAAATGGGCGAAGTATATGAACAGACACTTCTCAAAAGAAGACATTTATGCAGCCAAAAGACACATGAAAAAATGCTCATCATCACTGGCCATCAGAGAAATGCAAATCAAAACAACAATGAGATATCATCTCACACCAGTTAGAATGGTGATCATTAAAAAGTCAGAAAACAACAGGTGCTGGAGAGGATGTGGAGAAATAGGAACACTTTTACACTGTTGCTGGGACTGTAAACTAGTTCAACCATTGTGGAAGTCAGTGTGGTGATTCCTCAGGGATCTAGAACTAGAAATACCATTTGACCCAGCCATCCTATTACTGTGTATATACCCAAAAGATTATAAATCATGCTGCCATAAAGACACAGGCACACATATGTTTATTGTGGCACTATTCACAATAGCAAAGACTTGGAACCAACCCAAATGTCCAACAATGATAGACTGGATTAAGGAAATGTGGCACATATACACCATGGAATACTATGCAGCCATAAAGAATGATGAGTTCATGTCCTTTGTAGGGACATGGATGAAGCTGGAAACCATCATTCTCAGCAAACTATCACAAGGACAAAAAACCAAACACTGCATGTTCTCACTCATAGGTGGGAATTGAACAATGAGAACACATGGACACAGGAAGGGGAACATCACACACCAGGGCCTGTTGTGGGGTGGGGGGAAGGGGAAGGGATAGCATTAGGAGATACACCTAATGTTAAATGACGAGTTAATGGGTGCAGCACACCAACATGGCACATGTATACGTATGTAACAAACCCGCACGTTGTGCACATGTACCCTAAAACTTAAAGTATAATAAAAAAAAAACAACAAAAAAAGCAAGACACTACATTATGCTGTCTGCAAGAAAACCACTTTAAATGTAGATTCAAAGATAGATTAAAGTTAAAAGGTTTGAAAAGATATATTATTCAAGTACTAAGTATAAAAAAGAGGAAGGAGCTGAATTAATAACAGACAAAGTAGACTTTCATACCTGTGATAAAGAATAGTTCATAATAATAAAAAGGTCAATTTATTGAGGAGACATAACAACCTACGTGTATACATATACTAACAATGCTTCAAAGTACGAGAAGCAAGAACAGATATAACTGCAAATAGAAATAGACAAATTCACAATTATAGTTGGAGATTTCAACCATCCTCTCAGTAATTAATAGAACAAGTAATAGAAAATCAATATAATTGACATTTATAGTACACTCCACCCAGTGACAGCAGAATATACATTCTTTTCAAATGCAACTAGACAGTTGACTAAGGAAAACCAGCTTCTGGGACATAAAACAAGTCTTAACATAATTCAAGTAATGCAAATATATGTTCTCTGACAACAACAGAATTAAATTATAAATCAATAACAGAAAGATTCCTAAAATTTCCAAAACATTTGTAAAGTAAACAATACACTTCTAATAGCTCATGGGTCAAGTATACTCTGGTTTCTTTTCACAACGAATAAATATTTTTACTTTTACTAGTAACCCATGGGTTAAAAAAGAAATCTCAAGGGAAATTTTAAAATCTTTTGAACTAAATTAAAATGGAAACAACATATTGAAATGTGCCAATGCAACTAAACAAGTGCTTAAACAGAAACTTAGAGTTTTAAATGGTCACATTAGAAAAAGCATGAGATAATGCCAATGATCTAAGTGTCTACCTAAATACATTAGAAGAAAAAAAAAAGAGAAAAGTCAACTCAAAATAAGTAAAGGGAAGAAAATAATAAGAGAGCAAAAAAATATAATAATAGGAAAAAAACATTGAAAAGAAATGAATTACCAATGCAAAAACAAAAGTAGGGATACCACTACAGATTATAGAAACAATAAAAGGACAATAAAAGAGTATTACAAACAATTGTATGCCAGTCAATTCAACAATTTAGGTGAAATGGACAAAATCTTCAAAATATCCAAATTACTAACACTAAAACAAGAAAAAATAAAAATCTGAATAAACTGATATTTATAAAGGAAATTGAATTCATAATTTAAAATCATCATACAGTGGAAAGTTCAGGCTCACATGGCTTCAGTGATAAAGTCTATTAAACATTTAAGAGATAGTCAGTCTTATACAATCATTTCCAGAAGAATAATTCCCAATTCATTTTCTGAGGCCAGCATTATTCTAATACCGAAAATAGACAAAGGCATTATAAGAAAACTACATACAAAACAGTGCAATGTCCCCCATCATGGCAGACAGGAGGCAGGACTAGATTGCAGCTCTGACTTGAATGGACAGACCAGCGAGTGGAGGCCGGCATCATGAATTTTAGCTCCAGAAAGACTGGAGGAATAATTGAGGAAACTTGAAACGACCCACAGACCCCCTGAAGGAAGCAGATTGCTCCTACAGGACCTGGGAGACACCCCAAATACTGTGCTGGTATCCACAGCTGAGAGACCCATAGACGGTTTACATCACAGGACTCTGTATAGATAACCCCCAGTACCAGTCCACAGCCTGGTAGACTTGCTGGGTGGCTAGACCCAGAAGAGAGACAACAATCACTATAGCTCAGCTCTCAGGAAGCCACATCCATAGGAAAAGGGAGAAAAGTACTACATCAAGGAACACCCTATGGGACAAAAGAATCTGAAAAACAGCCTTCAGCCCTAGAGTTTCCCTCTAACAGAGCCTACCCACATGAGAAGGAACCAGAAAACCAACTCTGGTAATATGACAAAACAAGGTTCTTTAACACCCCTAAAAAATTCACACTGGCCTACCAGCAATGGATCCAAACTAAGAAGAAATCCCTGATTTACCTGAAAAAGAATAAAGGAGGTTAGTTATTAAGCTAATCAGGGAGGCACTAGGCAAAGGTGATGCCCAATGCAAGGAAATCCAAAAATGATACAAGAAGTAAAGGGAAAAATATTCAATGAAATAGATAGCATAAATAAAAGCAATCAAAACTTCAGGAAACATTGGACACACTTAGAGAAATGCAAAATGCTCTGGAAAGTCTCAGCAACAGAATTGAACAAGTAGAAGAAAGAAATTCAGAGCTCAAAGACAAGGTCTTTGAATTAACCCAACCCACCAAAGACAAAGAAAAAAGAATAAAAAAATATGAACAAACCCTCCAAGAAGTCTTGGATTATGTTAAATGACCAAACTTAAGAATAATTCGTGTTCCTGAGGAAGAAGAACATTTAGAAGTTTGGAAAACATATTTGGGGAACTAATCAAGGAACACTTCCCTGGCCTTGCTGGAGACCTAGACATCCAAATGCAAGAAGCACAAAAAACACCTGGGAAATTCATTGCAAAATGATCATCACTTAGGCACATTGTCATCAGGTTACCTAAAGTTAAGATGAAGGAAAGAATCTTAAGAGCTGTGAGGCAAAAGCACCAGGTAACCTATAAAGGAAAACCTATCAGATTAACAGCAGATGTCTCAGCAGGAACCCTACAAACTAGAAGGGATTGGGACCCAATCTTTAGCCTCCTCAAACAAAACAATTATCAGCCAAGAATTTTGTAGGCAGTGAAACTAAGCATCACATATAAAGGAAAGATAGTCTTTTTCATACAACAAATGCTGAGAGAATTCGCCACTGCCAAGCCACCACTACAAGAACTGCTAAAAGGAGCTTTAAATCTTGAAACAAATCCTGGAAACACAGCAAAACAGAACCTCTTTAAAGCATAAATCTCACAGGACCTACAAAACAAAAACACTATTTAAAAAACAAAGACAAAAAAACAAAAACCAAAGTACACAGGCAACAAATAGCATGATGAATGGAATGGTACCTCACATCTTAATACTAACATTGAATGTAAAGGCCTAAATGCTCCACTTAAAAGATACTGAACTGCAGAATGGATAAGAATTCACCAAGCAACTATCTGCTGCCTTCAAGAGACTCATCTAACACATACGGACTCATGTAAACTTAAAGTAAAGGGGTGGGAAAAGGCATTTCATGCAAATGGACACTAAAAGCCAGTTGGAGTAGCAATTCTTATATCAGACAAAACAAACTTTAAAGCAACAGCAGTGAAAAAAGACAAAGAGGGACATTATAAAATGGTGAAAGGCCTTGTCCAGCAGGAAAATATCACAATCCTAAACATACATGCACCTAACACTGGAGCTCCCCAACTTATAAAATAATTACTAATAGACCTAAGAAATGAGATAGACAGCAGCACAATACTAGTGGGGGACTTCAATACTCCACTGACAGCACTAGACAGGTCATCAAGACAGAAAGTCAACAAGGAAACAATGAATTTAAACTATACCTTGGAACAAATAGACTTAACAGATATGTACAGAGCATTCCATCCAACAACCTCAGAATACACATTCTATTCAACAGCACATGGAACTTTCTCCAAGATAGACCATATGACAGGCCACAAAACAAGCCTCAATACATTTAAGAAAATTGAAATTTTATCAAGCACCCTCTCAGACCATAGTGGAATAGAATTGGAAATCAACTCCAAAAGGAATCTTCAAAACCATGCAAATACATGGAAATTAAATAACCTGCTCCTGAATGATCATTGGATCGAAAATGAAATCCAGATGGAAATTTAAAAATTCTTTCAACTGGACGACAATAGTGACACAACCTATCAAAATCTCTGAGATACAGCAAGTATCCCAGAGGAAAGTTCATAGCCCTAAACACATACATCAAGAAGACTGAAAGAGCACAAACTGACAATCTAAGGTCACACCTCAAAGAACTAGATAAATAAGAACAAATCAAACCCAAACCCAGCAGAAGAAAGAAAATAACCAAGATCAAAGCAGAACTAAATGATACTGAAACAAACAAACAAAAAATACAAAAGATAAATGAAACAAAAAGCTGGTTCTTTGAAAAGGTAAATAAAATTGATAGACCAGTAGCAAGATTAGCCAAGAAAAGAAGAGAGAGAATACAAATAACCTCAATAAGAAATAAAACAGGAGATATTATAACATACCACAGAAATACAAAACCTTTGTACAAACACCTTTATGCACATAAACTAGAAAACCCAGAAGAGTTGGATAAATTCTTGGAAAGATACAACCCCCCTAGCTTAAATCAGGAAGAATGACACCCTGAACAGACCAATAACAAGCAGTGAGATTGAAATGGTAATTTAAAAATTACCAACAAAAAAAGTCCAGGGCCAGATGGATTCACAGCAGAATTCTACCAGACATTCAAAGAGAATTGGTACCAATTCTATTGACACTATTCTACAAGATAGAGAAAGAGGGAACCCTCCCTAACTTATTATATGAAGCCAGCATCACCCTAAGACCAAAACCAGGAAAGAAAATAACCAAAAAAGAAAACTGTAGGTTAATATCCCTGATGAACAAAGATGCTAAAATCCTTAACGAAATACTAGCTAACCGAATCCAACAACATATCAAAAAGATAATCCACCATGATCAAGTGGGTTTCATAGCAGGATGCAATGAAGCTTTAACATATGCAAGTCAATAAATGTGATACACCACATAAACAGAATTAAAAACAAAAATCGCATGTTCATCTCAATAGATGCAGAAAAATCATTTGACAAAATCTAGCATCACTTTATGATTAAAACTCTCAGCAAAATCGGCATGCAAGGGACACACCTCAATGCAATAAAAGCCATCTATGACAAACCCATGGCCAACATAATACTGAAGGGGGAAAAGTTGAAAACATTCCCGTTGAGAACTGGAACAAGACAAGGATGCCCACTCTCAGCACTCCTCTTCAACACAGTACTGGAAGTCTTAGCCAGAGTAATCAGACAAGAGAAAGAAATAAAGGGCATCCAAATCAGTAAAGAGTAAGTCAAACTGTCACTGTTTCCTGATGACATGATTGTTTACCTTGAAAACCCTAAAGACTCCTTCAGAAAACTCCCAGAACTGGTAAAGGAATTCAGCAAAGTTTCTGGATACAAAAATTAGTATACACAAATCAGTAGCTTTTCTACACACCAACAGCAACCAAGCAGAAAATCAAATCAAGAACTCAACCCCTTTTACAATAACTGCAAAAACAAATAAAATACTTAGGAATATACCTAACCAAGGAGATGAAAGACTTCTACAAGGAAAACTACAAAACACTTCTGAGAGAAATCATAGACGACACAAACAAATGAAAACACATCCCATGCTCATGGATGGGTAGAATCAATATTGTGAAAATGACCATATTGCCAAAAGCAATCTACAAATTCAATGCAATTCCCATCAAAACACCACCATCATTCTTCACAGAATTAGAAAAATAAATTCTGAAATTTATATGAAACCAAAAAAGAGCCAAAGCAAGACTAAGCAAAAAGAACAAATCTGGAAGCATCACATTACCTGATGTCAAACTATACTATAATGCCATAGTCACCAAAACAGCATGGTACTGGTATAAAAATAGGCACATAGACTGATGGAACAGAATAGAGAAACCAGAAATAAACCGAAATACTTACAGCCAACTGATCTTCAACAAAGCAAACAAAAACATGAAGTGGGGAAAGGACACCCTTTTCAACAAATGGTGCTGGGATAATTGGCTAGCCACATGTAGGAGAATGAAACAATCCTCATCTCTCACCTTATACAAAACTCAACTTGAGATGAATTAAGGACTTAAATCTGAGACTAAAACTATAAAAATTCTAGAAGATAGTATTGGAAAAACCCTTCCAGACATTGTCTTAGGCAAGGATTCCTTGACCAAGAACCCAAAAGCTAATGCAATAAAAACAAAGATAAATATTTCGGACTTAATTAAACTAAAGAACTTCTGCACAGCAAAAGGAACATCAGCAGAGTAAACAGACAACCCACAGAGTGGGAGAAAATATTCTATGCATCTGACAAAGGACTAATAACCAGAATCTACAACGAATTCAAACAAATCAGCAAGAAAAAAAACAAACAAGCCCATCAAAAAGTGGGCTAAGGCCATGAATAGACAAAAGAAGATATACAAATGGCCAAAAAACATATGAAAAAAATGCTCAACATCAGGGAATTGCAAATCAAAACCACAATGCAATACCACCTTACTCCCGCAAGAATGGCCACGATCAAATAATAAAAAAACAATAGATGGGCCGGGTACAGGGGCTCACGCCTGTAACCCCAGCACTTTGGGAGGCCAAGGGGGGTGGATAACTTGAGATCAAGAGTTCAAAACCAGCCTGGCCGACATGGCAAAACCCCATCTCCACTAAAAATAAAAATACAAAATTAGCCAGGCATGGTGGTGGGTGCCTGTAATCCCAGCTGCTAGGGAGGCTGAAACAGAAGAATCACTTGAACCCAGGAAGCAGACATTGCAGTGAGCCAAGATTGTGCCACTGCACTCCAGCCTAGGTGACAGAGCAAGACTCTGTCTCAAAAAAAAAAAAAAAGAAAAGAAAAGAAAAGAAAAACAGTAGATGTTGGCATGGATGCAGTAATCAGGGAACACTTCTACACTGCTGGTGGGAATGTAAACTACTACAACCGCTATGGAAAACAGCGTGAAGATTTCTTAAAGAACTAAAAGTAGGACTACCATTTGGTCCAGCAATCCCACTACTGGGTATCTACCCAGAGGAAAAGAAGTCATTATACAAAAAAGATACCGGGACACACACATTTATAGCAGCACAATTCACAATTGCAAAATCGTGGAACCAACCCAAGTGCCCATCAATCAATGATGGATAAAGAAACTGTGGTATATATATACAATGGACTACTCAGTCATAAGAAGGAATGAATTAACGGCATTCACAGCAACCTGTATGAGATTAGAGACTATTATTCTAAGTGAAGTAACTCTGGAATGGAAAACCAAACATTGTATGTTCTCACTGATTTGTGGGAACTAAGCTATGAAGATCCAAAGGCATTAGAATGATACAATGGACTTTTGGGACTTGGGGGAAGGATGGGAGGGGGCTAAGGCATAAAAGACTACAAATAGGGTCCAGTGTATACTGCTTGGGTGATGGGTGGTGCACCAAAATCTCACAAATCACCACTAACAAACTTGCTTATGTAACCAAACACAACCTGTACCCCAATAACCTAAGGAAAAATAGAAACAATTTAAAAAAAAGAAAACTACATACCAATATTTTTCATGAATATAGACATAAAAATCTTTAAAATAATATTTGACAATAAAAACGCAATAATACATAAAATAATAAAACTTCAGATCAAGCAGAATTTATCCCAGAAATGAAAAGTTGTCTCAATATTGGAAAAGCTATTGATGTAGTTCATCATATGAACAGACAAAAGAAGTAAACCATATAATGATGTCAACAGATGCATGAAAAACATTTGACAAAATTCAGTACTCATTCATGATAAAGACTTTTACCACACTATGAACGAAAGGAAACATCCCAACCTGATAAAGAGCATGTTACCAAAAAAACTCCAAAACCCTGTCGCTTACCTCATACTTAATGGTAAAAGTTTGAATGCTTTACCCCTAAGATCGGGGCAAGGCTAGGATGTTTGTTCTCCCTACTTTAAAAAATAATCTCTTAGAGGTCATATCCAATGCATTAAGGAAAGAAAAAACAAGTGAAGGGCACCCATATCAGAAAGATGGGAGTAAAATTATTTTATTAAGAGACGACATGAAAAAACAGCCAAGAAACTACTGAAAAAACTACCAAGGAAAGGACCAAGCTACTAGAAGAAGTATAAGTATGTTTAGCAAACGTGCTACTTATCAATGCATTAACTCCAAGCTCCAAATCCACCTCTCTACCCTACATGGGGATAATGGAGCTGAATCCTGTAAACGCTTGTTCTTTGTCAGCTTCTACAATGTCAGTCTTTGTCAGTAGAGAGAGCTGGAGAGACCTTGCAAGCCATAGAAGAGGAAAGGGTTTCTCTTCCTAGCTGTTTTTCCCCCATAAAGTATGGCTCTAGCAGCATGCAGGAGACCCAGTGGCAGACACTCTCCAGGAAGTTTCTCTTGCACCCCAGCAGGTGACTTTCTATGGCCCAGCTCCAGTCCATCAACAGCTCAGCATACATGTCCATCACCCACTGGACTTGCAGAAACACCCCCTCCAAGCAAGTTTCAACCAGGTTGGGGTACAGCCCTGCTGTGGTTTGAAAGGCACCCTCCAAAATTTAGGTATTGAAACTTAATGGCCAATGTGATAGTATTAAGAGCTTAGGGCCTTTACAAAGTGATTAGGTCATAAGGATTCCTTCTGGATGAATGTGATTTGTGTTTGTTTGGCTTTCTTGCCCTTTTGCCTTGTGCCATGTGAAGACACAGCATCCCTTCAAGTCTTCCACCACTGAGGTTGCCGCAACAAGGCACCCTCTTGGAAGAACAGAGCAGCCCTCATCAGACAACTGAACCTGCCAATGCCCTGATCTTGGACCTCCCAGCCTCCAGAACTGTGAGGAAATAAATTTCTGTTGTTTATAATTACTCAGTCTGTGATATTTTGTTACAGCAGCACAAAAGGACTAAGACTCTTCTGAGTTCTTATTTCTACTTTTGGATACTCTGCCTTAGTCCTTGTGGTAGTTGCGAATCCCCATATTTGCCCTTCCTGGATTGCTTAGAGTTCTCTCTCACTCCTTATAGTAGCTAATCCCTTTCACTATTTAATAATACTTTATTAAATATATATTTTAAACTTTATTAAAATGTTCTGTTCAGATGACTGATGTGGTTTCTGCTTCCTGGCTGGTTAGTCCAGCAAGGTTGCTGAATACAAACTCAATACACAAAAAATCAATTCATTTCTAAATAGTAGAAATTAACTACTGGAAATTTAAAATTTAAAAACAGTATTATTTATAATAAAAGGTTAAAATCATAAAGTGCTTAGGAATAAATTTAACAAAATATGCGCAAGACTTGTAAACAGAAAACTACAAAATATTGCTTAGAAAAAGTAAAGACTTAAATGGAGGGATATACCATGCTTGTGGATTAGAAAAACTGATAGTGTTGAGATGTCAGCTCTCCCCAAATTAAGCTATAGGTTAATATATTCAAAATCACAGTATATTTTTGTAGAGATTGACAGTCTCATTCCAAAATTTATACAAAAATGCAGAATATCTAGGGTAATCAAAAAATTTTCCTAAAAAGGAACACCATTGGAGGAATTATACTATCTGATTTAGTCTTATTATGGAGCCAGTAACCAAAGGAGTTTAGTATTGGCATAAGGATAGACATGTAAATAAATGAAACAGAATAGAGAATCCAGAAATAGATCCACACATATTTGGTCAATTTATTTTTAACAAAAGTAAAGAGGTAATTTAATGATAAAATGATAGACTTTTCAACAAATAGTGCTAGAACAACTGGGTATTAGCATGGGAAAAATAAAACTTCATCAGTAACTCACACTACATGCAAAGATTACCCAAATTAGATCATAGGCCGAACCCTAAAGACTAAAGCAATAAAACTTCCAGAAGGAAGCGTAGGAGGAAATCTTCACAAATGTGCAGTATGTAAAGACTTTTTTAAGGATATAAAAGAGCATAAAACAATAAAACTAGTAAATTATACTTTATCAGATTAAAAACTTCTGCTCTTCTAAAGTCAAGATTTAAAAATTGAGAAAGTAAGTCACAGACTGGGAGAAAATACCTGCAATACATATACATTTGACAAGGAACTGGTATTCTGAACATATAAAATATCTTCCTTTACAACTCAATGGTAAGAAAAAAATGAAAAAAAGAATAAAATATTTTAACACTTTAAGGAGGACACCTCAAGAAGAAGGTATATGGAATAACCATAAGCACATGAAAAGATATTAACATCTCTATAATTATATAAAGATAGGAAAAAACCATCTAGAAATGATAGGATAAAATAGAATTACATTCTATGTATCAATTCTAACTTTTTTATTGTAATAATCACAGAGACGTATAGAGGAGTTATACGTGTGTGAGTGTGTGCATATAAAGAGACAGAGACAGAGACAGAGACAGAGAGAGAATGTATGTAATATGTATATATTTAGCAACAAAATGAACTCATATATTACCACTGCCCAGGAGAAGATATAGCATATTGCCAGCATCCTAGAGGCCCAGTGTAGCTGCAGCAATCACAATCTTCTCTCTCCCTACTGAGTTAACGACCATGCAAATTTTCAAGGTCATTATTTCCTTGATTTTGTTTATGATTTAACCTTCCATGCAAGCAAACCTAAACAATATCATCTTATTTTACCTGCTTTTTGGACCACATATAAATTGAATCAGATTGTATGAATTCTTTTTCATGCTCATTTTGCTTAACATTATGTTTGTTAAGATTAATTCAAATTGTTTCTTATAGCTATAATTTGTTCATTTTCTTTCAGTATAATATTCTATTGTAAAACTACCTAATAACTTATTTATAAATTCCCACCATTTATAGGTATTTGAACTATTGGCAGTTTTATTACAAATATGCACTTATAAATATTCTCATATGTATTTTGCTGTATATGTGCATGAATTTCAATAGAGAATATTTTCAGGAAATATTCATAGAGTACGTGTATCTCTAACTTTATTATATAATGCCCAATTGTTTTTCCAAGGTGGCTGTACTAACACTCCCAATTGCAGTGTTTATGCATTCCAGTTGTTCCACATCCTCCCTAACACCTTATAGCATGAGACTCTTATTTCAGCCAGTCTGGTTGGTGCATAGATGTACCTCACTACAGCTTCCATTTTCATTTCCTGGATTACCAATTAGACTGAGTATCTTTCTATATGTTCAGTAGCCATGTGGATGGATATTCTCTTTTGGGATGTCATTTAAAGTACCCACATTCATAGTAGGATGTCTATCTGTGTCTGGTTAGTTGTTTTTAAGGGTGGGAAATTGAGTGATTTGTTTTTGCTTTCCCTTTTGCTATTTTCTGAACTACCTAAATAATAAAATAACAAAAACACACACAAACTTGCCTTAGCTTACATGGTACTTCATTGTATAGAAGTACTTTAAACTATTTAACCACTCTCCTTATGATGGAAATGAAGGCTACTTCCAATTTAAACGTGTTATAAACAACAGTGCAATGAATAGTCTTGTACAAACACACAGGTGTCAGAGGAAAGGAGTGCTGGGTGTCAAATGGCAGGAAGGATGACATTGATGAGTTTCCTGAATGATGTCCTTTTCTCATCCCCACCATGAACAGGCTTCCCCACCAGCCACGCCTGGATGCTGGTTCAGGCAGGTGAGAACAAGGTAAGAAAGGAACAAAACAAAAATAAAAAAAATAGAAAATGCTGAAAGAAAGGGGAGACTGATAGGAGTGATTGCTTTTGTTTCCAATTTTGTAATATGTACTTTTTGAAATGAATAGAAAAGTTAAAAGAAGGGTACAAGGAATACACATATAGCAATCACTAAACTCAACAACTGTTAGCATTTTGCGTTATTTGCTTCACATTTGCCCTTTTATCTGACCATTTTAAATTAAGCAGCAGACATTATGACACTTCATCCTTCAACATCACCACCTATATTTTCTACAAATACGGACTTTCTCCTGTATATCCTCAACATATTATACCCCCATGAAAATTACACAATAATTCCCAAACAGTATCTAAACTCACCATAGTTTCTGACGCAGAGTAGTTTGTAGATTTCTTCATTAATTGGTGGCAGAGGGCGGGGGGCAGTGAGGCAGGTATTAAGCCTGAAAAGAAGGCCTGGGTTCTCCTCCTCATCATCATGATTCTCTCACATCTCCCCAACCCTCAATATAATCTGAGGGCATGGGAGGTCAGTAGCTGATACAAGTGAAGTTTTTATTCCTATTTGTTAAAGATTTTTTTTTTCTGAGAAGTAAAGAAATGTATACTCATTATAGAAAATATGAAAATATGGGCAGTACATGGAAACAAAAAACAACAGGGGGAAATGTTATCCACAAACCCATTCCTTTGCACAGAAAATCAAATACCACATGATCTCATTTGTATGTGAAATGTAAAAAAGTCAAACTCATAGAAACAGAGAGCAAAATGGTGGTCATAAGAGGCCAGGGGGTGAGGGGATTAGGGAGATGTCAGTGAAAAGACACACATTTTAGTGAGGAAGAATAAGTTCAAGAGATCTAGTGTACATTATGGTGACTACAGTGAATAACCATATAATTGTATATTTGAAAATTGCTAAGAAAGTAGATTTTAAGTGTCCATGCTGCAACAACAAAAAAAGATAATTATGTAAGGTAATGTATATGTTAAATAGCTTGATTTAACCATTACACAATGCGTACATATACCAAATCATCATGTTGAACACCATGACATATGCAATTTTTAATTAAAAATAATTGTTAATTAAAAATAAGTAAGTTCTTTTCTAAAAAGTTGGTTATTCAACAGAAATAAAAACTAAATAAAAAGTCACAATAAGACTGACACAAACAAATGAACATCCACAGAACAAATGTTCTCCTTGGACAAAATCCCACTCGTGCTTGGTGCTTCTTCGTGACTGCTCTGGCAGGTGGAGGCTCTGGGTGTGCTTGGCTTTCACTCCAGACTTAGCCACCTTTCGGCACTATACATTGTAACTCAGAAACCTGCCTACCTGCTAGAAGAGATTTGGGGTGAATGCTATGTGTCCAGGTGCCAAAGCCAGGCCTTATTAGATACACTTCACAACTCTGTCCACTTTTTTTAAAAAAATAGTTTTTTTCTCCCCAAAGTAGAAGCTCCAGATAAACTGTCTTGACAGCTTCTTCCCACTGAAGTGATCAGAGAGCTCATAGACCTCTCATGGAAAAGGGGAAATGGTTTCCTGGTAGGGAAGACAGTGTTTAGAGATTGCTGTTCAAGCTTGAAACATAAATAACTTCTGAATCCCTCAAAATCAGGCAGCCAGCATGTACCAGGAGACGCTCGGCAGATGGTGTTCCAAGGGCTCAGTGTTTGTTTTCTTTCTGGCATGCGGGAGGGAGTATTTGCCAGCTAGCTAGACCACAGTCAGGGTTTCAAAGGGTAGCTCTGATCTTTTGGTAGGGAGGGAAAAGGACCACCCCTCCTCCTATCTCTCCAAGTGACTCCGAGTTGTCACCCTTGCCCTCCCCACCCTGCTATCTAATTACTACCTGCTCTTGCCTCAGTACCAGTTCTGAGCAACTGCAAACCAGGAGAGAAAACTCCCGGCAAACTCTCCTGCAGATCTAGGGCCCTTCCAGTCCCAACACTGCTTTCAACCTTTTCTTTAATGTGACACTCAAACACAAACAGGGCAATAATGCACATCTCTGAAGGACAGTCCCCTTCTTGCCTTGGGACCCTTGAGTGGGCTGCAGTTCAGATCATCTATAGGGAAGTAAGGAAGTAGCCAGTCTGTTTTCAATAATTGACTTTCAGTACACACACACACACACACACACACACACACACACACACACACACACACGCAGTTGTCCTTCAGTATCCATGGGGGAATTTGTTCCAAGACCCCTGATATCGTGGGTACCAAAATCCATGAATGCTCAAGTCTCTGATATATAATGGCATAGTATTTGCATGTAACCTACACACATCCTCCTGCATACTTTAAATCATCTCTAGATTACTTATAATCCCTAACACAATGTAAGTGCTATGTAAATAGTTGTGATACTGTATTTTTAGGGAATAACAACAAGGATAAAAAGTCTGTGCTTGTTCAGTACAGATGCAACCTTCCATTTTTTTCTGAATTTTTTTATCTGTGATTGGTTGAATCTACACATGGAGAACTCAGGGATATGAAGGGTTGGCTGCCAGCTGTATTTGTAAACAGTTTTGACTAAAATTAATCTGACTTCCTCACCTCCATTTACCACTAATAGAAGTGTGGCAGGGGCAGGAGAAATGAGGAGAGAAAATTAAATATATAATCCTGCTTAAAACTGAATATAATCTAAAAATTACACACCCTCTTTAGTTCGGTCTCTCTTCATAAAAATGCATAGACTCTCAGAGGCTCCCCTCCCTGTATTCCTCGTCTAACAGGAAGCCAGGTGTCTTGGTGAGAAAGTGGGGGAGTCTTTTATGACATCAGGCTGATGGGGAGCTCAGGGTTTTGGGTTTGGGAGTTCTCTCGTCTCCAGGGACAAGTTCCTGGTCCCCTGATCACTGTGGCCATGCTGGCACTCACAGTTGGAGCCTGGCTCTGTCTCGGCTTGGACCAAGCCCATGGCTGCTCCCCAGCTGTCTCTACCTCTCCTCGCTCCTGCTGGCTACAGATCTAAACTTCTGCAGGGTCTTCCTTCTATACCATGTGACAGAGAGCCCCATGGCAGGTGCACACTGGGACTGAGAAAGCTACAGCCTGCAAAGTTGTTCTGTGAACCACCTGTACAACTTACCCCAGGTGAATGCTGAGGCAGCCCAAGATGAGATGCTTGTCCAAGTTCTTAAATGGATGAGGCAATAAGCCCCGTTCCCTCCATTAAACCCTCACGTATAACTGCCTCCACCCCTACTCAAAGCATTGGAGAAAGCCAGACCACATCTCTTCTTCTTGTTCTCCCTCCTCGCTCACTCCTTTCACTTCCTACCATTTATTTCCTGTACACCCTGAAACCTTAAAGCTAGCCTAGCTGTGTGAGCAGAAGTGATCTATGCTCCACAACTTGGGGCAACTATAAACTGGGTCCACACACTTGCCCCCTTGCCCCTGCTACTGATACTCTGAAAGAGGCAATACCAATTTTAAACCTTATTCCAAGAATATTCTCCAATTTGCAAGTTGTCTGATGTCTAATCGGCCTTTGCATCTCAGAAACTAAGGAGTATCTCCTTTGTCTCTGACTTCCTTCCTTAACAAATCCTAATCTTCCTCCCCATTCCTGCCCTCTGCTCCAGGTATCAAACCTTGGACCAAGAAGAACAAAGATCATATCCCCAGGAAGACAAAAGAATAAAGCATGTGAATAATTTTTAATAAGTAAATCCTTTATTCCAAGCAAACCTTTCATTGGATTACATTGAGGTTTGAATAAGAAATTGTATGAAAATGGCTTAGAAAAATACCTCATCAATAAGTAGGCAATAAAATGTAACTATTAATCATTATTTAGCACATGCTGTGTCATTTAACCCACGGAAACAGAGGAGGCACTTTAACAGGCCATGCTATCCCCATTTTATAAATTAGAACAATGAAGCTCAAAGGTGCTGCTATTTTCTCTAGGTCATGTGAAGACTGAGCAATGGGACCAAATTAGAATTCAGAGTTTGTGACCCCTTCTCAGAACGTTAATCTTCCTTTCTTAATCAAGTCTCACCTCTTATACAAAGTCTGGGACGCTTTGATCAAGGGTCAGCAAACTTTTTCTATAAAGCGCCAAAAAGTAAATATTTTAGTTTTTTCCGGGGCTAAAGGTCTCTGCCACAACTATTCAACTCTGCCGTTGTAGCACAAAAAAAGCCACAGACAATACACACACAAATAGATGTGACTGTGTTCTAATAAAGCTTTATTTAGAAAAACAGACAGTAGGCTGAACTTTGCCCATGGGCTATCGTTTGCTAACCTCTGCTTCATATCAGTAACAAGTGCCTAGAACGTGGTAGGGAATACAAAATGAGTTTGGCTAGATAAATGAATAAAACAGTGATTTCTCTTACTCTCAACTATTTCAGTGCCAAAAGTCTCTACTATGTAGGCTAGCATTGAATTTCATGTGTCATATTATTCAATATCACTTCATATGTCTTTCCGTTATCCATGTATGACACAATATTAAGTATGAGTCTTGTGACTTTATACTCAGACAAGCCTGGAATTGAGACCCAACTTTTCCATTTGGGCAAGTTAATTTGCCTGGGACTTCTGTTACTTCATGTGCAAAATGGGGATAAGCATGCTGGCCTGCAGTGATATGAGGCTCAGATATTACATAGACACAGTGCCAAATGAATAGTCATCATTATTACAAATGAGGTATGGACAGAGATTAGGTCTTTTTCCGTCTCTTATCGAAACCTTCCTGGTTTCAGTCTTCCTCATTGATGTTTAAGTGAATGGGAATTGGGAATGGTGGTGATTCTGGCCTGACATGTCTGGGAAGGAGGCTGCAGGTTGGGAGGTGCACCACATGCTGAACTGACTTGGCTGCTGCCTCCTTGCGCTAGTTATGTCCAACTGCTGAGGTTTTGCAAAGAGCCAGGTTTCAGCCAGTTTTTAAGGTTTCAGCTCATCTTTTATAAGCTGTTGACAGTAATATGTTCAATACCTGTGTTTGAAATGCACTGTTGCAGATTTTAACACTTCACTGTTCAGGTTAAATTCTTCAGCTGATACACACAGAAAAGTATTATACCTTCTTCATAGTGAACTCAAATCTGGACTGAGGACATGACCAGTAAGAAAAGGAAGTAGTCCCTACTACATTCGAATGGCCTGGAAGCTCCTGGGAATTGGAAGACATAGCAGTCTTCATCGCTGCCTCTTGCTCACTATCTGATCTTGGGTGAGATAGACCCATCCTCTTTGCTGGGCCTCAATATTTTCCAGACTTTACCCTATCCATGTAGCCCCTGTACTATTAGTTTTTTTCTCAGTTTCAAATAAATCAATTTATTTTACTTACCCTGTCCTACATAATAATACCTTTAATATTATTGTTATACTAATTATATTTTTTCCTATCACACATGATAATAAATGCCCACATACCTATCGAAACATAAATTGTAACTATTATAATAAAAATGTTTCTTTGTGTACCACCTAGCATCATCTCAGACATCACCGGTGGTGGGTATTCCCACTTTTGGAAACACTGCATTTGACAAAGGGTATCTAGCATGCTTTCCACATCGCATGATGCTTTTATGCTCCCAGCAGTACCTGGCACCATGTCAGGCACACACATGGTATGGGAAGCCCTTACATTTACATTGCACTTTACACTTTTCATAATATTTCAACATACGTAAAAAGGAGAGGAGCATGAAGGAGAGAATCTCCTTAAAAGTTTGCATAAACTCAGCAATGGAGAAGAATAACTGAAAGATCCCAGGAAAGGAACCAAACCACCTGCCAAGGAAACTTTCTTGGCCCTGGAGCCCTGTTTTCTCACTGTAAAGAAGGCATGAGGGCCAGGTGTGGTGTCTCACACCTGTAATCCCAGCACTTTGGGAGGCTGAGGCAGGTGGGTCACCTGAGGTCAGGAGTTCGAGACGAGCCTGGCCAACATGGTGAAACTCCATCTCTACTAAAAATACAAAAATTAGCCAGGTGTGGTGGTGCACACCTGTAATTCCAGCTACTCAGGAGGCTGAGGCAGGACAATCACTTGAACCCAGGAGGCAGAGGTTGCAGTAAGCCAAGATCGCACCATTGCACTCCAGCCTGGGCAACAAGAGTGAAACTCTGTTTCAAAAAAATAAATAAAATAAAATAAAATAAAATAAAGGCATGAGGTTCTCAGGAAGGGCAGTGCCCACCCTCCAAAGAAGATGACTCTTTTAGAGCATGTTGAGAAGATCCTTTCACCTTGATCTTGAGATTCTTGTTGTTTCTTAAAGTACCTTGCTCTTTGCACACACAAACACTCACTGATACCTTATCTGGCTGAATTACTAAGAGAAGGCAAGTCATGGGATTCCAGGCAACTTCAAGACATTATTAAAGCAATAATTTTTGATATTATTATTACACCGAGCCTGATCCAATGTTGAATCTGCAGTTATGGAGTTCATTCTAAAACACTTGAGTGTGCCCAGAAGAGAAACAGTCTTACAAGTAATTTTCTCAAGCATGCTTGAAAACAAGGTAGTCCATGGCTCAGTAAATACAACAGCCTGGACAGCTGTGAGCTATCTAAGTTGAATTGACTTACTAATGTCAGCTACAATGAATGATTCTATCTATGAGAATCTCTCTGGAAGGCTCCAGAGCCTATGATTTTATGGATATCTTGTGCTTATCAATATATATGAAGACTGATGCTGTATGATATTTGAGAGGAGACTATATGAGCCACATGACTATTTAATTTATTTATGATCAACTTTTTAGTACCGTGAAATTATTTAATTTTGAATATCACTATTCATTTACATAGTGGCTAGTCATTCTCATCATTTAGGATATAACTGAGAATAGATTGTGGTGAGGGGTGTATTTCACAGAAATCCCTTCATGCCCTTTGACTAGTTTATGCTCAGATGTCTTCCATTAGGAAACCTAAAAGTCTTGAACTAGTTACAATCCAAAGTGTGTCCCACACTCCAAAGGTGAGTGAGCTGAATCTCTGAGCGTCTTCCCTGCAGTCACATACCTTACAGGGAAAGCTGAATTTCTTAGTAAAAGATTCTGGGGTCACATGTGTTGACCATTTGCCACTAACTTGAATGGAGTCCTGCATCACCATGCCAATTCCTAAGCCACCAGCTGACTGCTTGAAACTTAAATGCAAATATGCATGCACATTATCTCATTTGATCCTCATGCTAGTGCCATGGGGAAGGTCCTGATATCTTCCCCCTTTAACAGATGAGGGGACTAAGATTCAGAGAGGTTGAATAATTTTTCTCATACTCACATACCACCAAGAGCCAGGATTTGGCTAAAGAGTTATCTGACTCCATAAACACACAAAATATATTAACTGGGCTAAGCCACATTGACAGAGATACTCAGCCTTCCCTTATCCATGAATTACTCCCTGTAAGATCTTCTAAGAGACAGTCCTCACACAACCCCATGCCTCGACAAGAGTAACTGCAAACCAGAACAGGCCACCCCCAGGTTGGGTACACAGGAGTTTCCCGAGACTTGGAGAACAGGAAGAGCTTAAAGGAATCCATTTCTAGATTTTCAAGGCACTATCAAGACTGACCCGAGAAGGCTCCCGAGGCTGGGGTTCTCCTTTCCCAGCCCCTCGTTTCACAATCTATACCAGGATCTCCAAACCTTCTCAAGGAAAAGCTTCTTCCTCCCTCCTTAAGTGAGACCGGTTCTTGAGCAAGGGAGGGACTCTAATACCTTCAGTCCTCAAATTCCCTTGCTGAAAGGACCGTCCTCTGAAAAGAGGTCATGGAGTGGCAACCAGCTTTATCTTGAGAGAACTGAAATAGCTGTGTATGTGAGAGACGGAACTGTGCCAAAATACTTTGTGGTGAACTTTATGTCACTATTATTTTTATTTATTTAGTAGGTCAATGATATTTCATCTGAGTGTGGGTAACATAACCAAATGCACCTATTTTATCAATTTTATTTTCCTTCAAGAGTGGTCATGTCTTGGAATTTAGTGACTACGTGTAAATTATATTCCTATATAAAATCATTTGTGTGAGTCTGAAACACTTGCATCACTGCTATTCTTTCTTAAAATTAGCCTAGTTAATTTTGATTTTCAAGGATTAAGATATCCACAGGCCGCAGAAAGCTAATTTAAGTGTTTGTTTTCATTCTTCAGGTACCTGAGTGATTCTCTACAACTTTCTCCAATTAGGAACTTGAACCTTTTATCTTTGAATCATTGATCAAATAGTAACATTTAAGGAAAAGTATTTTTTTGTTGCTGTTTTGTTTTGTTTGCTTTTTACCTTTTGCTCATTCATCATAAGTAATGGTGAAAATGAACAAGTTTAAGTAAGAGAAACTGTTCCACTTTCATCAGTTTGGGTATTTTTTCATGAATTTTCCACTCTTTCCTAACACAGGAATATTTGGGCCCATGCCTGTAATTCATTTAGGAAACACAGAACTATTTACAGAAGCTAAGTCATTATTGCACAAGTTAATAGCACTAACTTCTTATAGAATGAGGCAATCAGTCATTGCAAAATAAAATTGTAGATTACCAATTGCAGTGATCTAGTTGGTTATCAGCCACTACTAATTTGTAGCTATAAGTCTAAAGTTCGGCCTTGTGCAAAAGGCCGAGCTGGTGGCTGCAGGGCTGCTTAAGCATTCTATGAGGACAAAGTTAGCTCTTGGTGGGTGTTAGGAGCTTGCTGCCTTTTTCTTTCTTTCTTCCTTCCTTCCTTTCCTTCCTTTCTTTCTTTTCTTTTTTTTTCTTTGTTTTTTTTTTTTTTTTTTTTTTTTTTGAGATGGAGTTTTGCACTTGTTGCCCAGGCTGGAGTGCAATGGTGCAATCTCGGCTCACTGCAGCCTCTGCTTCTCGCGTTCAAGCAATTCTCCTGCCTCGGCCTCCCAAGTAGTTGGGATTACAGGCGCCCACCACCACGCCCAGTGGCTGTCCTAATGAAGTGTGTAGGAAAGAACTGAGAGGCACCATATTGAGCTGGGAATGCAAGAGTTTCTTATCATCACACAGTACCCTTTTTGCTGAACTCAATCCAGTCTGCTGCATGGCAGTTAGGAGTCAGTTTGAATGGCTTTGGTTTTGACTTCCAAGTCTGTCACTTACTAGCTGAGCGACCTTGGGAAAGGGACTTACCTTCTCTCTGAGCCTCAGTTTCCTCATTTGAAAAGTCATGATAATAGCATCCATCCCTTAAGATCATGGTAGAGAGTAGATGGAAGAATGTACATTAAGTGCTGGGCACACCGCCTGGCATGCTGTAAGGATTCAGAAAGGGTAGCTATTGTGTGATTTCAAGGTCCACTCTGTAGCCAGCCACAGACCCTGGTGGACTGAACAAAGGGGGACGAACATGATAATAAAAGACAAGAGACAAAAGGGTATATTTAGAAGAAGGGGTCGGGGGCAACTTGCCTCTAGTGGACAAGGGCCCTGAGCTTTACACAGCCCTCCGTATTTATTGGTAGAAGAGATAACGAGAAAAGGGGGTGGTGGTTGTTGGGTAATTTTCAGTCGGCCCTTTGGTTCACGGCAGGCTTGAGACTGCATCCTTTGAACAATAGGCGCTAGATTTCTCAGTAGATAACTTCAAGGAGCCTGGCACCAGGGAGTGTTGGCCCTCAGCAAAACTTTTGGTGGCAGGTGCAGTGTGAATTTGCCCATATCCTGCATTCATGGTAAACAGTTTGCTGTTTGATTATATAGCCTCCAGCAGAATGACGAGCTGGTCACGTCCCACGGGCCTTCAGCTCCCTACACACTCACATCTAGGTCACCCTCATCACCTGGAATGGCACATTCCAGGCCCATCTCTTCCCTATTCACTTTAAATGCCAAATCATGCTTTCTCCTGACTAATCTGGACTGCCTCAGAAGCCACAAGCACACACATTTCCCATCCAGCCCAGAAGTCTCCTGTGGACATGCCAATCTCCCTGTTAAACATGTTCACCTTTTTCCCTATAAACCCCTTTGTGAGCCCTGTCCAAGAGGTCCAAAACATGCTTATCTGTACATTCCATGAAGTACTTTTGACCAAGGGACAGGCCATGCATCAGTGAGCAAAGCAGACAGGGCCTCTAATCTTTTTCTTTTTTTTGAGACAGAGTCATACTCTGTCACCCAGGCCAGAGTGCACTGGCGTGATCTCAGCTCACTGCCATCTCCACCTCCTGGGTCCAAGCAATTCTCCTCCCTCAGCTTCCCGAGTAGCTGGGATTACAGGCGTGCACCACCATGCCCAGCTAATTTTTGTATTTTTAGTAGAGACAGTGTTTCGCCATATTGGCCAGGCTGACGTCGAACTCCTGGTCTCAAGTGAGCCACCACACCCAGCCCATTCTTTTGAAATTCACAATCTAGCAGAACAGAGAGAACAGCCAACCAAAATAACATGAGTCAGGAAATCCCAGCGGCCATGGGAACACAAAGCAGGGCAACCTAGCCTCCTCTTGCATAGGGTGGGTGGGGAGTCCACAGCAAGGTCTTGCTCCCCAAGTCCCAGCTAGCCCTGCCCAAAGTACAAGCCTCTGATTACCATGGGGACCAGTTAAACAAGTGGTATATGTGCTAATATACCACATTTCGTGTGCAGTCAGCAGCACCCTTTTTGATATGAAGCATAGGTATTAACATGGTCATGTCTGAAGAGTAACAGTTATGTCTCAAGTATGGGAAAATGCATTTTCTACTTTACAACTCAACTCTGAGTCTTTCTCATAGGAATGCTCATATGTCACCTAGACCTTATGAATTCCAATGCATATTTTTAAAAATATTTAGACTTTTAATCCAGTATTTTCATAAATAATGTGAGATAGAGACCTTTTTTCCCCCAAGTAGATAGCCAGCATCCCAGCGCCATTTGCTGAATAATCAGACCATCTCTTCCCCATTCACTTTTAAGTGCCAACTTTCTCATACAAAAAATTTTCATTTTTGAGTTTATTTCAGGCTCTCTGTCTTGTTCTATCTGTCAATGCCACACTTTTCTGACTGCTACTACTCTAAAACGTGTTTTGATACCTAATAGGGCATGTTCTGTCTTTGTTTTTAAATTTTTTCTTGAATGTTCTGTGACACGTATAATATTAAATATCTTTACAGAGAAGCCAAGTATGAAAGTATATTATTTTACGTATTTATCAATATAAAACTCTAATCTATGAATTATGCATTGCTTTTAATTATCTACTATTTCCACCACTATTTGGGGCTTTTTCATTTCACATTTTATTTGTGTGTGTGTGTGTGTGTGTGTGTGTGTGTGTGTGTGTGTGTATAAAATAAAAATGGGGTAGTAAAAATCCTATGGGTTTAGTAATCAAAAGGACTAGACTTGAGACCAGGCTCTGGCATTTGCCACCTATATGACCTGGGGGTATCATTTTCTCTTTCTGAGCCTCAGTTTCTTCATTTATAAAATGGAGATAACAACCTATCTCATAAGGTATTGCGAGGGTACTATAAGAGAAGACATCTAAATAGTTTCACAAAGTTTCTGGCACATGTCACAGAGATATTGGAAGCTATGGATGTAAAAAAATAGGCTTTAATTTTTTATTTGATAAAAATTGTTTGATAAAAAATGTTCAGTATCATTATTGCAGAAAGTGGCATGGGTATTTACAACTGAACAAAACCTTGTCCTGGTACTAGGAATCTATATATCCTTTGGTTTTCAGGCAATGGAAGTGTTGATGACTTCATCTTATTCTGTGGCTTCTACTTTTAAGATGTTTGCATAGTAGACCACATGTCCAAATATTTGGCTTTTAGCCATAAAGGAAGCCCCCAAATTTCAAATAGTGCATATGTCAGAGTCAGATGGGCTGTGGTTCTCTCTGGGGTATCATGTGATACCCCATTTAATGCAACATATGAACAAAGGGGTCTGGGAGCCTGCATCCCCCGAAAATTATTTTATTAAATGATTATCAGGAAATCCATCACTTTAGTCTGTAAATAACTGACATGTACAGTAATGTGGCTGTCACATTGTATTTGCTACTACTCAACTGGAAGAAAAGGAAAATGCAAAAGTGTAAAAACAAGTCCATAAATATCTCCAAAGAGACTACTGCAAATTTAATTAACTGAGCAATTGAGTCTGACTTCTTTAAATTTAGATCTGAAATATGAGGTATTCTTCCAGAGCATTATATTCTTGTTAGATGGGTCAGGGGAGGGGAGTGAGGGAGAAAAAACAAAACAAAATCTCCAATAAATTTTAGCTCAGTAATGTTTTGTTATTAAGAAGAGACTAAAAGGAAGAATCATTTGTCCCTTATAATCAGCAGTACATACTAGAAAAATTGCACCCCAATGGGTCTATTTTTCCACAAGAAATAGGACACTATTCTCAGTAAATAATTCTACTACATTTTAGAAACATGATCCTACTAAATGTAAAGCAACTCAATCTGACTTCTCTAAGACAGACTAAGACATGGCCCCACCCTCCAAGGCCCAAAGTCTAGAGAAAGATCTAGATGTGTTTGTGAATCGCTAGGTAGAGTGAATCCCCATGGTAGAGGCACAGGTTCAATGAAGAGAACAGGACCAAGAGAGGATCTTTAATCATCAGGCCACAATATAGAAGTGGTCAGGGACACTGAGTTGAAGAGGTTCTCATACAAGATGCACCCTCTGCAGCATCTTACTCCACACAGAAGCATGTCATGTCAAGCCACCAATGCCACAATGGGCTCAGCTAGACCTGGGTCCCACCAACAGACAGCAGGCGAGGCAGGCCTGTCTTCTCTCCTGCAGGCAGCAAGTTGGCTGTGTGAACTAGGAGTCAGCTTTGCAGGCCCAAGTCTTCTCTCCCTCCCCTTTCTTCCTTTTTCCTCCTCCCCTTCCTTTCCATCTAGCCTACTTTTCTTGCCTTTCTCCTTCTCCTTTCTCCTCTTTCCCTTTCTTCTTCCCTCCCTCCATTCCTTCTACCTCCTTTTCTTCCATCTTCCTTTTTTCCTCTTCCCCCCTTCTGCCTCCCTTCTTATTTCTTCTGGCTCTGATCCCCACACACCCATTCACTGTCTCTCCTCTCTCTCTCGCCAACACACCCAACAAACACACCATACAACATTTATATTTGGGGTGGTTTAGGAGTTCCACATTTGACTTCTGCCTACATGTCTTCTCAATACAGCTTCCACCACAGTCTTAGACTGGGGTGGGAAGGGTTTCAAGGAACTAACACAGAATGCTACAACAGATGCAATATTTGCTTCCCAGGTGGCTGGCAAATGGTGTTTGCTCCACTGGGGGTACAAGGGAGCACCAAACCCCTCACTGAAGAATTTCACATGAGCTGATCCAACCGGAAACCATGTTATAGATGAGCTAAGATTTGAGCTGGGCTTTGAATACAGCATAAACAATTTTGTATCTGGAGAAATGAGCACCTGATGTGAACGTGGGAAAGGCCCATATTGTCACCGCATCTCTGCCCTCCTGAAGCAGCCAGACGTTAAAATCAGAGACATCTTCAAATACGCTCTATACTACTTGAAGCCACCCAATAAGTTCTTCATCCTTGAGCCCTGTATATATTTCAGGCTGGAGGACTCAGAAGCAGTGCCAAGAACGTATTTATTCCTAGAGAACTTGGGCCAATATTGTCATAGTAATCGTGGAAATTATGACAAAATTTGGATATTTCACAATCAAGTACGTATCACCTGGGTCCAAGAGGCCTCTGCACCCTTCCAAATGGGATAATTTGAACACCTCCTTTAAGCATCTCAGTGATGTCTGTGTCAGTCTCATGCCTCTAGGAATTTCTTTGCGGCTTGTGATCACAATTTGGAACAGTGGCAAGGGATGGCACCATCAACTTGTTGATAGTACTCAGCAACTGAGAGTGTGTGAAGAGGAAGAGGGCAAGCACTTGCAGAGCTCTCACTGTGTGCAGACACTAGATATTTTCAGTGTCAACCTTAGAAAAACTCTACAGTTAGGCACAGTTAGTATTCTCCCTTTATGGGCCAGGAAACAAAAGGACAGACTACTTTGCTCCTTCTATCACTCAACCAATGAGTGTAAAGTAAAACAGCAGGTCTGTGAGATCTTTGGTTCTTTCACTGCTATATTCCAAGCATCTGCATGGTGCCTGGCATATAGTAAATGCTCAGTAAATACTCTGTGGATGGATGAGGTGGTAGGACTATGATAAGAACCCAGAAGTCTGGCCCCAGAGTCTGTGGCCTGGGCACACAATGTAATTTCTCTCTTCTCCTCTGTGTTTCCCCATCTTCTTCCTAGGTGGGTGCTTCTCAAGCTTTAGCCTGCATCAGAATCACCTGGTGGACTTGTTAAAGCACAGATTGCCAAGTCTACCCCAGAGTTCTGATAAGTAAGTAGGACTGGAGTGGAGCCTGAAACTTTACATCTCAAACACGCTCTCTGGTGATGCAGATGCTGCTGGTCCGGGGACCACACTTTGAGAACTTCTGCCCTGGGCCATAAACCCCATGTTTTTGTACCAGCCACCTTTCCCTTTTTCCACCACAGAATGCCCATCCTGTTCATAAAGATGAGAGTATGAAAGAATAACTGAAAATTGACCCATTTGCATTTCAGCAGAAGCAAACTCCAGTAGAAGCAGCGGTTGCTACAGATGTTGCTGGAGTTATAGAAAAGGCCATCATGTACAATTAGCAAACCAGGAATCAAGTCCTAGCACCTTTTTGCTTGAGCAGCATGGCCCTGAGCAAGTCAGTTGACCTTTCTGCTCCTCATTCTGTCAAATGGGCATGTGGATAACCCCTGCCTTGTCTACCTCCCAGGGCTGTTCTGAAAATTAAGGGATAAAATAGGGAAAACATTCTGTCCATGCTAACGGACTGGAGATCCGGTGCGTGTTATTATGCAGTTGGCTCATGAAGTCGTAATGTTGGTCTTGAAACTAGAATTAACTCTGGTGGGTGATGGGTGAGTTCAGAAGGAAGCATGAGCTCTCTTTATATACTGTAGAGCTGAAACAAAACGAAACAGCGAGATGTTTCCAAGTAGAACATGAAAATTAAAGCTGTATACTTCCAGATGAAATATACTTCATTATCACAGGCCAAACATAAAATAAATAGGGCAGAAATACAGCTATCTGTTCCCATAAAGAACAGGGAGGAAATTTGGGGAACAATTCCTGGGTAACTTTAAATGCCTCTTCTATCTTTTTACTGCAGAGCCATGAAGGACAGAAAATTATGACAAACTAATTATTATGATGGATGAGGAGCCAGTCCCTTCTGTTAGCTACACTGCTGGAGCAAAGAGCAGCTCCACAGCTCGCATACTTCAGTAGGCAAGATGCTCTCAATGATAATGGGCAATACAGATTAACAACATTAGGTTAAAACAGGATAATTACTCTTTTTCATTTTCTAGTTCTTTCCACGAACCTGGTCCTGCCTTACATTTTTCTGTTTCTTGCTTCCAAGCCGCTGTGTGTATCAGGCAGGCGCCTCTCTTGCTAATTAAAGGTGATGTTGTGCTTGCTTTTCCTGTGGTTTCCAACAGTGCGGGTCCAGGGACCAGGGACTGATAAAACCACTGCAAGGGAACCACCCTTTCCAGAAGCAGGATGAGGTCACAGGAGGACCAGGGATACAGAGCAAGCAAGCTCTGCAAAATGAATTCTGCTTTTCTTTCTTTTTTTAATGCATTCAGCAATCTGGTATGAGGGTGATGAGTGTAGAATCAAGAGGTGGGCCTTTTTTTTTTTTTTAACTTCTTCAGGAAGTAAATTCCAAACAGCCTTACATAATTAAGCAGCCATCCAGCTATGCAAAGGAATGAACTCGTTCACGCATGCATGCATTCATTCATGTATTAGTCAGTTAGTCATCACCAGTATCTGCTAAGTATCTACCCTAGGCCAGGCACTAAGCTGGACCCTGGGAATACAATGGTGAACAATACAAGTATAAGCCCTGCTATTCTACAAGGGAAGATCAAACAAAAATGGAATGTCAGATATGCAGAATAATTTCAACTTGTGATGAGGTGTTGTGAAGGAAAAAAACAAAGGACTGAGATGGTGATTGACAGTGGGGTCTACTTTAGCTAGAACACTCACAGAAGACACCTCTGAGAAACTGGGGAATTAGCTGAGACTTGCAGGAGAAAAACAAACTGAGCATTCAAAGGAGGGGAGACGAAAAAGCTAGGCAAGAAAGCAGCATCTGCAAAACAGAGAAACATGGGACACGCTTGGAAACCTGAAGGTCAATGTGGTTTGGGCCGAGTGAGGTAGGGAGGGGCAAGATGCAGCTGCAGAGATGCACCAGAACCATTTCAGGCAGGACCTCATGGGCTACTACAGGTGCAGGTGTGGGGTCTGGGTCTTATTCTAAGTAAAAAGCAACATATGGAAGAGTTTTCAGCAGGAGTATGATGTAATCTGTTTTCTCGGACATTTAGAGAATGAATGATCAAAGAGCATGCAGTGGAGGTGGGAAACCACTAGGGGCCAGTAGGCCAAATGATGGCGGTGGTGGTCATGAAGCTGGACGGAGGTAGGAAGATTGAAGGTCGAATTCAGAGATAGGACTGAGGGTACTTGCTGATGGATGGGATAGGGATGGGAGTCACAAAGAGAATCATGGATGATTGGGAGGCTGCTGGCTCAAGTGAATTGGTGATGGCAGCACCTTTTACGGCTATTGGCTAGGAACAGATTCCAGGGGAAGAAAATTAAATTCCAGGATAGAAATTTCTCACCGCCTTTGGAATTGCAGAAATTACTCAATGTTATAGCCTCATAGACCTGAGGCCACTCTCACACCCTATGAAATTGCATCCTGAAAAGCTACCTGGAAATGCAGTTTGTTGGCTGGTCCTAGGAAAGCCTACCATTCTGACTCATGAAGTCCCTCCACCAACAACTCAGCCATATTTCACAAGCATGTTACCCACATTGGTTTCAGGCCAGCAGCCTGACAACAACATGGAAAACACATAGCAAAATGCTGGGCCATATTTCCACCATAGAAACTGTATTAATGACAATTTCTAATATTTGTATCTCAATTTATAATTTACAATGCATTTAAGATCACACTTCTAAAACTTTACCTGGGCATCTTGTTAAATTACCTGGGCATTTTGTTAAATGGTGATTCTGCTTCAGTGGGTGATATGGTTTGGATCTGTGTCCTCACTCAAATCTCATGTCGAATTATAATCCCTAATGTTGGAGGAGAGGCCTGCTGTGAGGTAATTGGATCATGGGGGCGGACGTCCCCCTTGCCGTTCTAGTGATAGTAAGTAAATTCTCATAAGATCTGGTGTTTAAAAGTATGTAGTAAAGTATGTAGTACTTCTCCTTCTCCTCTCTCTCTCTTCCTCCTGCTCCTGCCATGTAAAAAAAGCCTGCTTCCCCTTTGCCTTCCACCATGGTTGTAAGTTTCCTGAGGCCTTCCCAACCATACTGCATGTACAGTCTGTGGAACCATAAGCCAATTAAACTTCTTTTCTTTATAAATTACCCAGGCTCAGGTTTTTTTTGTTTTTGTTTTTTATTGTTTGCTTGTTTGTTTGTTTTGAGACAGAGTCTCATTCTGTCACCCAGGCTGAAGTGCAGTGGCATGACATGAGCTCACTGCAACCTCCACCTCCCAGGTTCAAGCGATTCTCCTGCCTCAGGCTCCCAAGTAGCTGGGACCACAGGCATGTGCCACCACACCTGGCTAATTTTTGTATCTTTAGTAGAGACAGGGTTTCCCCATGTTGGCCAGGCTGGTCTCAAACTCCTGACCTCAAGTGATCCACCCACATCAGCCTTCAGGTATTTCTTTATAGCAGTGTTAGAATAATATAGTGGGTCCAGGGCGAGGACTAAGATTCTGCATTCCTAACAAGCCCCTGAGTGATGCCATTGATGATGCTTTGACTAGCAGGATTATAATATACATTTTCTCACTTGATCCTACAACAACCCTCAGGCAAGTGTAATCTCCATTTTACAAATGGAAAAACTAAGGCTTAGAGAGTTTTAAATTATACTTTGTCTAAACAAGGATCGACTAGTCCATAGGAGGTAGATCTAGATAAGAAATGTAGTTCACCAGTACCAGTTAGAAATAATTACAATCACAAAACTTGTGAAGCTGTATAGGTTTTAAGATTTATTTAATTAAATTGTCATTTGGCAAACAGGTAGAAGAAAGACACATTTAAGCCAGAAGTAATCAATGTATTTGCATGAGGATCAATACAGAAAAAAAAATTTGAGAATCACCGTACTTAACAGATATCTTTGTGTGTGTAATTTTATTCATTTTTAAATTGAGGTATAATTTACATACATTAAAGTGCACAGATCTAAAGTGTTCAGTTTTATTCATTTTTAATTGAGGTATAATTTACATACATTAAAATACACAGATATAAATTGTAACTCTCACCCGAAACAAGATACAGAACATGTCCATCATCCCAGAAAGTTCCATCCCATTCCTTTTCAGTTGATTCCTTGATTTCCATCAGATAAATGTATTCTTGAACTTCATATAATTGAAACTATGTTTCAATTGTGCCAGCTTCTTTTACTCAACATAATATTTAGAGGTTCATAACCATTATGTTTTATCAAGAAATATCCTATCGCTCACTGTACAATATCTGCAATTGTTCTTCACCATGATTTTTATGATTCCCAAACAATGTTTCCCACTGGGGTCTAAAGTTACAAAAATTACACATCTAGCAACCACTGAGCATTTGAATATAATAAAGTCTGGCTAAACTTTGCTGCCAAAACACTTTTGAAGCAAGTAGATTTTGTCTTTTGCTGACTGACCCTACAAGTTACCTAATTGCAAATTACGGATTTTCTCACAGAGCATTTTAACATTAAACATTCTACAACACGAAATTTTCTCAAGCAAGACTGAACAGCTATAGTGGAAACATCTTTAAGACAAAGAAATATTATTCATTCTACTTGCATTGAAACGTGATTTTTCTCAGCCTACTTTTTTATTCTTGGCAGCTGCCCTAGCAAAGGTCTAAATTTTATTGAGAAACACACACACACACACACACACACACACACACACACACACAGCCTCAAAGATCTCAGCCTCCTGACAGCAAACCCAAAAAACAGATGCTTCTCTGTCAGCCATACCTGGCCAGAGGATAATGAGGCACAGACCAGACCACAAGGTACTCAGTAGTATGGTCCATGCAGTTTGGCCCTCTCAGCACCCTAGTTTTTGCATCTCTGAGATGTAGGAGTTCCAGAAACTAGAATGCAGGCCATGCCTTGAAGGCTGCAACTTACACCTTTATGCCCCAGTCAACTCCTGGAACATCTTTCCTGCAAGAGTCGTGTGCTCCATTACACACACACACATGCGTGCAAACACACACACACATGCATGCAAACACACACACACACGCACACACACACACACCATGAGTGCTTAGTATCTGTAGAGAGTCAGCAGAGCCACCTGCATTTGACTCCTGCCATTTATCTGAAACAATCCTTGACTTCTGTCTTGCTGACTGCCAGCATCCATGTCAAGACCCATCACTTTGTTGACAGGGTTTAGTAGGAATTTTTGTTTTGGTAGGAGTTTTTGTTTTCACTTCAGTTTTTATTTTTTTGTCTCTGAAAGTAGATGGTGAAATCATATTTCTCTGTTAATCACATAAGCTGTTGGGGATAAACTGCTGTAGAAGCTAGTTCTGTCCTTTTGAAGAATTTTAGGAAGTAGCACATTTTAAATTGTCAATTTGTAACGGGAAGGCTTGCCCTAAAAAGGCCCATAATGGCATGTCCCAGAGGAGAGATGGTATGTCTTTGTATTCCTAACATCTAGTCTAAGGCTGGCCATACAGCAAGAACCAGTAAATATTTGTTAAATGAATGACATTTTGTAAACCTAAAATAAAGATAGCACTGATGTTTAATAGAAATGATAAAACAGTTTCACTGACAAAGTACAATTATATAAAAAGCAAAACGACAACAAAAAATACTTTGGGAAAAAAGTATATTACAAAAATTTCTTTTAGGTGATCCTAATGCTTTAGAAGATAAAAATGCTATAACTTTCATACTTTTTACTAGTTTCAAATTTAAGCATTCATAGCTTACAATTTTACTTTAGGTAATTACTGAGTGACCATCACACACCAATAGATATATTCAGTAGCATTTAATCCCATAGGCATTCACTAATATATTAGAATTATACTTAGGTATTAGATTTTTAATCAAGAAATGATCACTCTTCTCATGAATACTGATTTTGACTGCACAAATTGTCAAATATGTGAAGAAATACTATTTTAATTTGGTAAATCATATTTCCTATTAAAAAACTGTTATTTCTATCTGCCATATTTTTACAAACTTTGCTTGATTTGGTCCTGGGTTTTCTTAAAGTGTCATTGCACCAACAGAGGCCAAGAAGTAGCAGAGAATGGAGAAGAGGAGAAACAAAGCACGATGCCACCATTGTGTTTCGCCAACACAGCAAGCAAGCCCTCACCTGCTTCCAGGCCCTTGCGTTTGCTTCTCTCCGTCTCTGGAATGGCCTGTCCCAGCTCTACATGGCAACAGCTCATTCCCATCCTTCAGGCTTTGGCTCTAATGTCTTCTTTACAGAAGCCTTCCCTGACTTCCCAAGGCACAGTGGCTCCCATAGAGACCCTCCATCCATCACTTTCACAGCTGTGTAGTTGTCTTATCTGTAATCTGTTGACCTTTCCTTCACTAAAATGGAAGTTCCATGAGGTCAGGGCCATTTTTATTTTGTTCACTACTGCATTCTCAACTCCCTGTTCAGTGTCAGACACCCGATCAATATTTGAAGAAGGAATGAATAAACATGTGAGCCACCGCTTCTATATCCAGAATGCTTTAACTACACACAACTTGAAGAATCAGCCTAAGGCGATTTTTAAACCCAGCTTCCCAAGGCTTAATGAATGCAGAAGGCAATTAGTTGCAATCTTTCAGGTTCATTGGCTATTTCTTTGCAATTCCTGTGGTGACAGGATAATGATACAGTAGAGAGCTGCTCAAATGACCCAGGTTTGGCCGGCAAGATGAGAAACATGAGTGTGAGTCAAAGGGCTACTTCTCTGCCACTGCTGGGAGAGTTCATGTAAGGTATTGTGCCACAATTCATAGCAACTGCTGAGAGTCTGCCATCTCCATGGACATCTCAGAAGTTGGCAAACAAGGAGAAGTGCTGACAAGGTTAAAATGACGTGGTCTTGATATCACTGTCTTTTCCTCAAAGTGCCTAGAACATCTAAATGCAGTCATAGTAGTTTTCAAATACTTTAATTCTCAGAGTAATTCATGCTCATTATATAAAATGGAAAGAAAATGCCCCAGAGCATTAAGATTTCCAAGGAAGATCATTATAACATGTGTAGGTTATATCATATGGCTTTGGAATAGACTACCTGGATTTTAACATCAGTTGAGTCTCTTACTGATTTTGTGATTATGATATATTGCAAAAGGTCACAAATCCTCCCCCAACCCCTGAATGCATGCCCTCTTGCAACGTGATTATGACAAACCCCCAGTCAAGAGACAAAATCCACTTTTCCACCCCGTGAATTGGGTTTGGGCTCAATATGACTTTGACCAACGTGACATTAGCCAATATGATGCAGCAGCTTGAAAAGTGTTTGAGTATCTGGATTTGCCCTCTCTTGTGTCTGGAAATTCCTCCCACCACCATGGAAACAAGCCTGGGCTGACCCCCTGGAGAGGGAGTGGCCAATGGAGCATGGCCCAGCTGTCTTATCATCCTGGTAAAGGCCATCCTTGACCATGCAGCCCCAACCCTAGCCATGCTATCCCAGTCCAGAAGAATTGCAGCCAACTCACAAAAACATGGGAAATAATAACTGTTTGTTTTAAACCACCATGTTTTGTTAGCAGAAGCTAACTGATAGTGATTCTCAGCAAAATGCTTAATCTCTTTAAGCCTTGGTTTCCTGGCTGTAGAACAAAGACCATAATAATACCTTTCTCATAGGTTTCCCTTCAAGCATTAAATGAGATGTATGCAAAGCACTTATCATACCTGGCACATAGTAAGTGCTAAATTCATTTTTATTTTTTTCTTCCAGACTTGGAAAAAATAAAGAGTGTGCTCTATTATTGTTTTCTATTGTGTTTTGTTGACATAATATTATACTACTGATATTTAATCATAACATAAAATTATTACCCCATTGTTTATTAAAGTTTGTTATGAACCAAATGTCTGTGTCTCTGCCAAATTCATATGTTGAATCAAATGTATGAAATCAAATCCCCAATGTGATGGTATTTAAAGATTGAGGCCTTTGGTAGGTGATTAGGTGATAAGAGAAGAGTCCTTATGATGGGGTTAGTGCCTTTATAGGGAGAAGCCAGAGAGAGCTAGCTTGCTGTCTTTCATCCATTGAGAAGACAATGAAAAGCCAGCAGTCTGCAACCCAGAAGAGAGCCCTCACGAGAACCTGACCATGCTGCACCCTAATCTTGGACTTCTAGCCTCCAGAACTGAGAGAAATTTCTGTTCTTTATAAATCACCCAGTCTATTAAATTTTGTGATAGCACCCCAAGCTAAGATTGTTTCCAATTTTTTAACTTGAAACCCCATCAAGAGTCTTATTGAGGCACCTCCCTCTGCCATATTGAAATAAGAAATGGCTTTTCCAGAGCACTCAGGAGCCTCCATGAAACTGCTTCAGGGAGAATAAAAGAGTCTTCCTATGAATGAAACAAAAAACTCTGGTTGATCCAATGTAAAGCTTTTTAAAAGCAATCAGGCTGGAGAAGAAAGGGGAATTTCCAGGCCTGAAAGTGATGCTCTGGCAAGATCCAAGCGCCCTGTGGCACAGCAAACAAGTCTTTGTTTGCTCTATGTCACAAGTATTTGTTCGGAGACTAAGAAGCTCCTGCTAGTGACTGGCTCATGCTAGAATGAAGGGGCTGTTTCTCAAATTACCAGAGGCAGTTCTACAAACTGTTGGAAAGCTCCTCCCTGGAATGAGATCTGTATCATCCTCTAAGCAGACCCTAGACTGGCAGGAGCTGTCAAAATGTTTGCAGATCCCTGTTGGTCAGTGGTGCAGAGATTGAGAGAATAGGGTCAAAGGTCACGGCTCCACCATGTCCACATACTAACTTCCTGCAGTGATTCTAGTGACCCATGTTTTCAGGGGTCCTGACGGAAGACTTGCTCCTCTAGTGTAGGCCGCCGTCTCAGAGAATCCCAGAAAGTGTACTTCGGGTCCAAAGCCTCATAAAAGTGCTTCCTGAGGTTTGAAGCAGCAGGGAAAAAATTGGCTCTTGTCCAGAAAAGAAGAAAAGGTGAAAATCCCTCCATAAGGAAGGGAAAACTGCGAGCTTCACAACAAAGACTGAAAGAGCTGGAGATTATTGCAGGTGTGTGTCTCTATCCTTAGGATTAAAGATAATAAAGATGATGATACAAAAACAGACATACCACGCATTCAAGAACTGGCAAAAGCTGTTTCTTAGCATGGTCTTCGCAAAATCATTTTAGCTTCTTAGCAACTTGTTATGCATTCCAGCCATGCTATCTGCTTTGACCTACTTTTCTTACTCTGCAAGAGGGGAAAATCTCTGCAGGAACTAGACTCAATCAATATCCAAGTTCCAACCAATTATCAAGTTGGCCGAACCACAGTTACTGCCTCCAATTTTTTTGTGGCAGACCTTCAAGAAAAATATAGCCTCCAATTCTTTGGATTTATATCCGTTGTCATTCTATATAATTTGTGTAATTTTGTTGGCAAATCCAGTACAATGGAAACAGATAACAATGGATTTACTCTGAAACTGCTTTTCTTAGTTCTCAAAAAATATTGGTATACTTGCCTTGGGACTCAAAGCCAATGACAAAACTTTTACTTTCAATCAAAATGTACTCACAGGGCCACTTACTCAGGCAATGATACACATGCTGAATATTTTCTTTGATATGTTTATTTTATTTGAAAATTATTCCCTGCCTATTTTCAAAAGATATCTAAGGCAGCTTACAATAAGATATATATAAGATAATGCAATAAAAATAGCAATGAAAACAGGATACCAAAAACCATACTGAGGGAATGGGAATATAAATATTACAACTACATTGTCTAATATGGGAAGATAGGCATCGACTTTATCTCTGACAACACAGGAAACATTGTGATGTGGTGGAAAGGTCAGAGGATTTGGAATGAAACACACAGGGTTTGGATCCCAGAAACTTCACTTCATGAGATAATTTAGGCAAGTTACCAACCCTTCCTGAGTTCCAGTTTTTTTAACCCCAATAAGCACTTCATAGAATTGTTGTGAGGAGGTAATAATAACACATATGTAATTGAAAAATAAACACAGGAGTGATAGCCATGTACCAGGCCCTATGTTCTAAGCTCCGTACAGGTATTATTTCATTTAGTTCTGACAATAATCCTGTGAAGGATATGACTACTATCCCAGGTTTACAAATTTGAAAACTGAGGGACAGAAAGGGTAGGTGAGATGCCTAAGGTCACAAACCAGTAATGGTAGAGCCAATATTTGAATCTTTGGATCTGGTTCTAAAGTCCATATTCTTAACCACTCTCCTGCACTTTCATATGACCTCAAATGAGAGCGCATCAAAAGAGAAAGTGAGGGGGTGGGGTGCCCATCACTGTCATCTGCTTCCTGACAACCAAAGCCAAAAGGGAAATATGTTATATGCATACATATATATGTATATATGAGTATATGTATAAATATAGCATATTGATACATGAATTTTTATATATGCATGTATATATATTATATATATTCATATATATGATATATACCCTAAAAGTAGTTTATTTTATAATGTATATACATAATATATCTATATGTTATATCTACATACACACAATATATACTGTATATAGTTTATTTTATAATGTGTATATATATTTATATACTAAAATATTTTTATATATTTATATTAAAACCATATAAATATATATTTATTTTAATATATAAATATGTATTTATTTTACATACACACACACACACACACACACACACACACATATTATAAAATAAGCTACCTTTAGGAAAACACCCCCCATGCTTGGATTAAATCACTATACACCAACAATTTAAAAACTTATAGCAAAATAGTATTCCCTGTTTGTTTAAAGGAAATCTTATTCTGAAATTTGATATATAAAAGAGAAAAAGACAATGTAGGGTTCTTTAGGCAATTTGAATAACTCTCCTCGGGTTGAAAATATTTTGTAATTTGTAGAACCCCTGAAGCAGGTCCAGGAACCCTGAGGTTCCACAGGGCCCCGTCTGAAACCATCTCACTAGATTTTTATCCAAGGAATCATGAAATAAACAACATCTCCAACAGACGATTCAGAAGACGCACAGACATACATTATGTGGCCATTTCTTAGAAAGGTCCGTCAATAAGACCAAGGACAGGCCATTCAAACATAACTCAAAGACCTTTCTACAGAAATCTAAGCTGGCGAGGTTTAGTTAGGCAGATTTCTGGTGGCCCAGGGAACTTAGAAAATGACTTCTAAGTATGCTTCTTAAAGTGTAGCACATGCATTAGAAACTCGTGGGATGCCTGCTTGCCAGAGTCCTGATCCCAGTCCTGACCTAGGAAAGCTGTATCTTTGAGCAGAGGGTTGGAGTGATGTCATTAATCTGTTCCAACAAGTTCCGCAGAAGATTCTCAGGCATGCTAAAGAGTGTCAATCATGGCACTCTGCCCCGTCCAGGACTTGACTGTGCTGTTGAGTTGGAATGAAGGTGGGACAATCTATAGTCACAGCGTTACCTATTGAAAATTCACTCCCTCAATTTCTTCACTCCACAATACTCTTCACAAGATGCCCGTTATCTCTTTTGGGTGCTTGTCAAACAATCTGCTTGAACTAAATCCTATTAAATCCAACCATTAAGTTACACTGGAGGACAAGGCTAGGGAATATGGGGAGAAGGAAAATTCACAATTTCCAACATGTGTTCAAGCAAGAAACTACCTCACTAGCAAGGGGATAATTCAGCTCAGCACCACCTGAAGTAATCAAGACTTGAGGCTGCACAAGTAGTCCAGAGACAGCTGTAACATTGAAATGATGGATTTAAGCATCGTTCATTCTGGATCAAAAGTCTGCATTATGCACTTGAGGGTTTTCTCAAGTACTGAAGGCAAGAGCAATTAATTTGCCCACTCTTTCCAAACTTACAAAATCTCAAATTTCAGCATATCTGTGTCCAAAGGATTATAGCTGAAAGAAATTGAGTTAGCTCTTTCTCTCAGGAAATTATTCAAGGGGAAGGGAGCAGCTGTACTTTATGCTACTCTGGACAGTGCAGTCATCAGTGACACCGCTAAGCAGTGTACCTTATAAATATTTCCACTTCAAAGAGGAAACCGACATTGCTTCCAGTCTTTCCCAGTCCCACCCTAACACACAAACTTACATATATATGTACATACACATGGAATATTGTGGTCAATTTAAATTGTAAAGTATGTATTAAGAGAGAATAGGGGGTTTAAAAGTTGCTGTACATTTATTTATAGCAAAAAAATAGTTACTAAAACAGCTATAAGTAAGCACGTGTTATCCACTAAAATCTGTTTTGCACTTGATGAAAGTTTAACCCAACCTAACACAGTGGTTGGACCATTAGGCACTCAGTAAATCTTTGTGAAATAAATGAATTAGTGAATAAATGAATTAATGGATATCACTTATTTATTAGGTAAAAGCCTAACATACAAATAAAAGGCAAAATTGAGTAATGTGTTATACTCTCTAGGAAGAGGGTGTTGGTTCTTAAACTGTGGCAAAAAAAAATGATAATAATTTGGTCTAATGTTTTCCTCTACTTACACTGGACATAGAGTTATATTTTGGAGATAACAATGCACACATTCAAGCTTTAAAAAATATGTGGTCTGGGCACGGTGGCTCACGCCTATAATCCCAACACTTTTGGAAGCTGAGGTGGGTGGATCACTTGAGGTCAAGAGTTCAAGAGCAGCCTGGCCAATGTGGTGAAACACTGTCTCTACTTAAAATACAAAAATTAGCTAGGTGTGGTGGCTACTTGGGAGGCTGAGGCAGGAGAATCGCTTGAATCCCGGAGGTGGAGGTGAGCCGAGATTGCACCACTGCACTCCAGCGTGGCCCACAAGAGTGAAACTCCTTTTTGGGGGAAAAAAAATGTAGAAAATTAAAGAAAATGCCTTCACTATGCCTTCACTATAAAATGTCATTGACAGAACCGAAACTTAAAGTACGTTGGAAACTTGGTAAAATCAAAACAAAACCTTCTAACACTTGCTTCTCAAAACCATGTCCTCTAAATATTAAGATGGAATTATGTCATGATTTTTAATAGCTAAATTTTCTCCCGTGACTATTCTTTTCTTCTATCTTTCTGTATTTTCTCTCCATTCTGCCCCCATTGTGTGATAAATAAAAAGAATTCAAATAAGAGTTTACATCAAAACCATGAAGCACATGTATAAGGAAAACTTCCATTGTGCAATACATCAAAGTTGCTCTTATACTCTCTTTATACTTATTCATGCCCATCCATTCACAAATCTTCTTTATACTTAGTCAATAGCTCAGCAAATATTTACTAGGTACCCATCATGTGACAGGCACTGTGCTAGGCACCAGGGTTGGAACAGCAAACTCTTTCCCCACTAGGTTTTTGAGGTCATAGTGTAAGTAAGCAGATAGATATTAAATGATCACACAGTTAATTAGTCCATTGAGATTGTAATTAGGACCATGAAGTCACATACTGGTTCTTTAAACAACAGGGCCACATGATGAAGAAATATGGACTTGGTCCTTGAGTTATGGGCAATTACTGAAGGGTTTTCATTCAGAAGTGACATGATCAGATCTATTTTAGCAAAAGGTCACTCTGGTCACACTGAGGAGAGAGGATTTAAGTAAGGCAATGGCAGATGCTGAGGAATCAATGAGGAGTCTACTGCAGTGTTACCTCCCAATAAATACCATACTCCAGGTGACATATGACTGCGGCATGGTCTAGAGAAACAGCACTGGGGATGGTAAGAGTGACAGTAAGGATTATAATAATCAAGGCTGCCATTTGCTGTGCCACTCTCTGTGCTTAAGCAATTTCAATTATTGACTCATTTAATCCTCAGAATTCTAAAAGTAAGGTTCTAGTATTATCCCAATTTTATAATCAAGGAAACTGAGGCACAATGAGGTTCAGTGACCTGTCTGTGGTCACACATCTAGCAGCGATAAGAACCCAGACTCAGTCTTCAGGGCTTAAGCTCTTAACCCCTCCACAATCTTGCTAAATTGAATTAGATCTTCTGCTATGTGTTCAGGCAGCCACCTGGTTTTCCATGGTGCGGGCAATTTATTCATTCCCTGACCAGTCCTTTCACTGCAATTCAAGAGGTTAAATGCTTTCTCATGGATGAATTCAAGAGACCACCCTTCAGTGGGAATTCTGTCTGCCTTATTCTTATTTCCTATGCTCTTCCTAGTCTCAACTACAAAGGCATCTTGAAATTGCATGCGTTGACCTGTACTGAAAATTAGCTATGGAATGTCTTTGTATGAAATTCTTTTCTGTACAAACCGTGGGTCAAAGAACAGAGCTCAGTTGTGAATTCTGATGCCTCCATTTGAAAAGTTCTGTTAATGTTGAGAATAAATATGACTCATCAATCTTGGGCAGTGGAGGTGGGCTGAAGAAAATTGTTAATTTACAGGGTCACTTCACTATGGGAGCCTGAACAGAAATGTCATTTTAAAAGTTGTGACCCTATTACTGAATTTACTGTTTTAGATGGTGTGCTGTTAGACTGGACTCAATGGACCAGGGGCTTGGCTGACCCTATCCAGGTCAGACATTTGACCTGGTGGGCCAAGAGACTCACATGACCTATCTGCCATGTTCCTGATGGGATTAAGAGGCAGAGTGCAAGAGAAGTCTTCTGGCCAGGGAGCAGGAGAGGGAAGGGAGAAAACACTGGAGTGTCAGGCAGAGTGAGGGATAGCCAGTAACCTGTTACTAAGGCTTAGTTACTGAAAGGAGGTTCAGAGCCAGGAAGGTGGTTCTGACCTTCGAGAGAGACCAAATCTTCTGAAGAAGAGTGTTCACAACAGGAGGTCCATGATAGAACTGAGACACAAGAATGAAATAAAGCCCTGCTCGGGTAGCTGCCATAGACACTGTAGCTTGGTTACATTGGACATGGTGGTTCATTCACATAGTCAGTGGTTTTATATGTCAGAAACTATGGAAAGTTTTTGGGATTCAGAAATGAACCATGGCACCATTTCTGCCTGCAAGGAATTCACCAGGCTAAATGGTGGCAAGCGCTCCTTTCAGAGAATTAAAGCACACAGTCAAGGCAGGAATAATGGTAAAACAGACTTGATTCAAATCATATCCCACCCATCCTAGTGTCAGGGTAACTCTCAGATTACTCTGCAGCTAAGCAACCCTAAGTAAGATTAGAAGGAAGTAGGTTCCAGGTTCCAAACATTTCCCATTTGGTGTGGACAATATCTGCTACTCTGAAATGAAGTCAAGCCAGGACTCCGAAGCCACTCTCTCTCTCTGGAAGGAACTCCATGTTCCAGGAGGAGCCATGATTCTTGCCAGCTCCCTGTGACCCTGGCCTCCCAGGCAGCGCTGTCTCCACCTCTGGCTCCTGCTGCCCCCATCTGCCTCTCTGTGGTATCACAAGGCACCCACTAAATTCACCAGCAGAGCTAAGAACCTTCAATGTTCCAGCAGTGGGGCAGTGAGGCAGGTGAGCCATTGGGGAAATTTCTTGGGGTCCAGAGAGTAGACTTTTTAAGATATTAAATCTGGAGGGAATCATCTCCTCCAATATCCTGAAGCCCAAGGTCAAGAGAGAACATGAAGCAGAATAAGTTCTGTCCACGAATAAAACCACTTAGCAGAGGCTCTGACAATTCTAATAATGAACCTCTGGTTAGAGGCCATCTTACACACCCTGCTCTCATTCTTACCCATCCTCCCCACCAACTCCATTTTCCACCTACAAGCTGGAGTGATCTTAAAAGATAAATCAGATCATGCAAGACCCTATCTCTACCAAAAAAAAAAAAAAATTAGTCAGGTGTGGTAGTGCACACCTGTGGTCCCAGCTACTCCAGAGGCTGAGGAGGTTGGGGGATGGCTTGAGTCCAGGAGTTCAAGGCTGCGGTGTGCTATGATCTCACTACTGCACTCCAGCCTGGGTGACAGAGCGAGACCATGTCTCAAAAAGAAAAAAACAAACAACAGAAAGAAAACCCTCCAAATACCCAACACAACAATAACAGCAACAACAACAACAAAAATACTTAGAATAAAATCCAGACCCTGACCAGAGCCTACCTGGGCTGGCCTCAGCCGACCTTGCTGACTGCATCTCCTGCCCCTCCTCACAGCTCTGCAGCCATCCCATCTTTCTCTCTCGTCCTCCAGCATACCCACACCAAGCTGCTCCCACCTCAGCGCTCAGTATACTCAGCCCCTAAGGGGTTGGTTTTTCTTACCATTCGGCTCAATGTCACCTCCTCAGAAAGGGTCCCTCTTTGGTCTCACCGCCCAGCCACCACTATATTCCCCGTCACCTGGCTTCACATTTCTTTTTTCTTTCTTTTTTTTTTTTGAGACGGAGTCTTCCTCTGTCGCCCAGGCTAGAGTGCAGTGGCCCAATCTCGGCTTGCTGCAAGCTCTGCCTCGTGGGTTCATGCCATTCTCCTGCCTCAGCCTCCCGAGTAGCTGGGACTACAGGCGCCTGCCACCACGCCCGGCTAATTTTTTGTATTTTTAGTAGAGACAGGGTTTCACCATGTTAGCCAGGATGGTCTCAGTCTCCTGACCTCGTGATCCGCCTGCCTCTGGCTTCACATTTCTACAGATCCCTGCACTAGCTGAGATGATCTTATGTAATGATTTATTGTCTGCCTCTACTACAAGGGAACCCTGTGAAGGCAGGAAGGAGGACTCATGCAGCAGAGTATCCCAGCACCTGGACAATGCCTGGCATAGTAGGTGCTTCAGAATTTGTGGGATAAATGAAAGTACAGTCAGCCCTCGGTATCCATGCCTTCAGTTGCCGTGGATTCAACCAATCATCCATTGAAAAGATCTGGGAAAAAACTTGTATCTGTACTGAAAATGTAGACATTTTTTGCATGTCATTATTCCCTAAACAATACAGTATAAGAACTGTTCACATAGCATTAACATTGTATTAGGTATTATAAGTAATATAGAGATTATTTAAAGTATATGGGACACTCAGCCCCATGTGCTTAGGTTATATGCAAATACTACACCATTTTATATCCGGGACTTGAGTATGCATGGATTTTGGGATCCGAGGGAGGTCCTGGAACCAGTCTCCTGCTGATTCTGAGGGTTGGCTGTGTCATGAAATTACCACCGATTCCATTGAAATGAATGTTTTATGATAAGGTTTCAGTTTACAAGTTCTAGAAATGGACTATATAAAGAACAAAATAAAGAGGGAAGAAGAAAGTTGTCCGTGTAGTTGTTTTAATAAGAACTAAAATATATACTTATTAAGCCCCATCTATACAGGATATTTAACTCCATACTATGCAGAAAGAAAATTGTTTCTGCCAAAATTACAGAAATGTAGGCTTGATTTATAATAATGTAGAAACAGTTCCAATGAGTTGTTAAATCTTGTTTATTTCTGGGACTTCACTGAGTTTTCTTTTGCATGAAGTTATTATTTAAAGTTCTAGTTAGCGAATTAATGTCAATAATTTAAATGAATATCTTTGTGTGCAATTATCTTGGATTGGAAGGCAATAAAACAGCTGGAATTACTTTTAACAAATTACACATTCCTTCCCCGTCATGTACTCTACTGTTAGCATTAGGGAATGTTACTGCTGTAATTTCGTATTTAAAGTAGAAGCATTTGGTTTAGAGGAAATTATAGAGCTAAAAAAATCCATATGCTCCTCACATTCACCCTAAAGTAATAAAAACATCAAGAGGTCAGGATTCTCTAATAAGTGATATTCGATCACACTCTATGTATTTGGATTTTGTTTTAAAGAAATTAGTTTGGGGAGAAAACATCCCAGAGAGAGAAGCTGAACTTTAAAGAGATAAATAAATTAATGCATAATGCATTTTTAAACTCATGAATAGCAAATAAGTTTCTTAACCTGTAGGAGTATTGGGCATTTTTCCCTAGGAGAAGTGGGGTTTACCTAGTATCTTGGAAATGTAAAGGCAGTTACAGGAAATGATTCATGATTAAAGAAGAAAAAGGGACTTTCTGACCTCTAAAGCTATTCACACCTAAGATTTTAACTAGTGGATGACTTAGTCAAATTGGAAGATAATATTAAAATGTTACCGACAACAGTTAAGGAACTGATGTATCATTAATTAAGCTGCAAACTGTGCTCTGGAATAGCAAAAATTAATAACGACAAAGTCTAAGAGCCAAAAAAAGGCTTGAAAACCTGATTTATCTTCTATGAAAAAGTAGAGCAGATAGGACATTATTTATTTGTAGGATAATGGCGTTCATCATTTAGAATTCAGAACCAAAATATGTTAAAGCAAACAATGAATAGAAAACAAAAGAGCTAAATAGATCAAAGCTGGGGCTAGTGTTTGGAGACCATAACCAACAGCCTTTGATGGACACAGATTTCTCCTGTTAATATGCTTTGAAACCACTAAATTATCAGGGGCATATCCTACTCTGCCCACCCTCAGAGTGAAAGCCAAATAGAGAAGGGTAAAGTAACAGAATAATGAAAGCCACACGGTTAACAGGGTAATGTAACAGGGCAATGAATGCCGCTCAGATAGATTCAGGCTGAAGCCAAAATTAGCCTATTCCAGAATTAACCTCTTCACCTCATTTAGCATATATTGTATTGGTCAAGGACAAAAAGGATACATGTATCTTTCAATAAAAAGTTTTGCAGGAGCACATAGACGTCATCTAAATGTAAATAAATCTGATTCTAAATCTATCTGAATTAATAATAAGATCTAAAATTGCTTAACTTACACGCAACCCTATGAGGTAGATGCTAATATTACCCCTACTTTTCAGGTGAGGAAAACAAGACATAAAGACTTCAGGCACTTTCCCCAAGGACAGGCAGCTGGTACTGGAAAAGCCATATTTGAACTCAGATCTTCTGCTTCCATACTTCATATTCTTAATCATGATATGATTATTTACTCCCGTTGTGATTCTTGTTTAACTGTCATTGTTTCTAGATAAATAAAGTTATTTTTCTTGTAAAAATGCCGTGAAACTCTGATATGTGGCCACAGGCATGCGGGCTGGAGTGTCCTTGTGTACACCCATCTACTTCCCACCAAAGCGCTCACCAGGCCTTCCCCAACACAGCACTGACCTCAAATAACTTATCAGTAATTAAAGTCGAATGTCTTCGAAATCACACTGGTAATTTTCAAAGTATAAATTTTTGTCATAAACCTGTTTGTTTCCATTCACGTGCACTGAGTTTTCACCTGAGACACACTCAGGTGTATCGAATCTGATATGGCTTTTATGCACAGTTAGAAACTTTTTATGGCAATCTTGAGGATTCAGTTATCATTTCTAAATATATATATATATAAATATTATATATATATATTTATATATATAGCCAAAGTTTCTATCTATAGTTTTAAAAATGACCTGCAAGTCACAGAGTGTGGCCTGTGTGGTGGAACCACAAAGAATATTACTCAAATCTCAAAGTGTCCAAAGAATTTGGACACCCTTTTGGGTGCGTTATAGTGGTATTTAAGCCATATTTAGTGAAAACATCTGAAATGCCCTTCGGTTGCATTTGACCAATACAACTCAGTATCTTTTGACATAAGCAGGTCTCTGAAACAAATATAAACATTGATAAAATGGAATTGCCTAATATGTAGCATTCAGTATACATTTCAAAGTATTAATTCAGTTATTCTTGTTGGCGGAAGGGGAGAAAAAAAAAAAAGAAGAAAAATCCTCTTTTAAGCCCATGCACAAAAGATGAGAGCCTCTGCTAGGGATCTTTCCTAAAATGCCTTTGATTGTATAGCTCTAGCAGCATAGGTCCTTCCTCAGCTTCTTAGGCATTTAGGTAATTTTGGGAGAACAGAGAGCATATTAGCCATAGCTACTGACTTTGATAAATCACCTGGGCTCTCTGGAAAGCAAAAGGATATTGTAAGGAGAAATGCAATACTGTCTGTGATAATGCTCCGAGGTCTCCAGAGAAAGGAACATATTTAAAAATGGCAAAAGCCTAAGAGTGAGGATAACAGAATGGCCAGGGGCTAGTTTCAGCTCCACCAAGTGGCAGAATGGGGTAGATGGTGGTCTATCTGCCATCATCCTTCTGAAAACTCTCTTCCCGCAGACGGATGCACACTATTGATCAATTGATCTGTAGATGGTCATTCCGGCCACTCCACTTTAAAGGGATCCATTGTACCAGGCTTGTTTGTTTTACCATTTGCTTCAACACTAAAACCATACTGTGAACACAACATTTTCCATCTGGTCATGCCACAGATGAGATTTTTCTATGTAGTAGTTTATACCTACAACAGCATGTAACCAACCCCATCTTCTTGTCATGCTCATGAGCTCCTCTATGCCTTAATGACAGTGGAGAAAGAAGGTTGTACTCAGGGTCAAAATATCAATTCAAGTCCTAACTAGTCCACTGATTAACGGTGTGACCTTGTACCTGGCCTCCCTGAGGCTAATAACCCCTGTTCGTCTGTCTTCCTGGGTGGATAAAATGATCTAATGAACTAACAAGGGACTCAAAGCGCTTTCAAAATGTAAAATGGTGTCTTTTAATGTTAGTGCTGCTATTGAAAAAGTACCTATTAGATATAAAATAATTTAAAATCTGCCATAGTATATAGAGGTTTACTCATTAACATGTATGCACTTATGTAACTGAAATATCAATTTACAGTGTAATCTCTCCATGTGTACTCATGTTTCCTGAACAGGCTCTGCCACCTTCAGAGTTTATACATTTTGTGCATGTATAACCTGGTCCAGCCCAGGTTATTACGAAAACTTTTTAGTCTTAGAGAGATTAACAGTCATTTTTCTTTCTAAGACTGCTATTTAGCTGAGCTAGAGATAATCTTCTAAAGAAAAACAAAAAGAAATTTCCTTAAAACACTGTTCATTATGTTCAAAAATAGCCACAGTCCACTTTAAACTGAGTTAATGATAGATTTTCCTCAACAGAATTCCCCCTTTAGTAATTAAGTAGCAAAATGTTTACTCCTGGAAAATGCTTGTTTCCCAGGGATTATTAATCATACTTTATTGGGAAGTAATCAGTTACATAGTTTACTTTCCCACCCCTTTTAGAAAATTTAAATGCTGAGATACTCATTTTTGCCATGAAAATCTACCCAGTAATTACCATATTTACTTTTCATTTATGGGGGAATAATCTGTTTTAATTAAGCCTAACTGAAGAACTTTTATCAGATGTAATTATCCCTTCCGATAAATATGTCTCCACTAATTACATTTAACCATGGGATTTATAGCTCTTAAGTCATTTAGTAGGAAACATAATAAATCTTTAGTAATACATGCAAAATTGCTATAAATTAATTCAGATCATTAACATAATAAACAAATTAGGATAATTTTGCTTAATTAGTTTGGGTGATTAACTCAAAATCCCATGTAAGCTCCATGGTAATCTTTATTTTCACGATTATTTCTGGAATGACACATTTTTGAAGAAAATCTATTTTAATATTTAAATATAAGATAGACCTCTTCTCTTAAGCCTTAATCCTTTGATGATTATTTTCCAAAGAGAAAATATAATTGATTGTTCTTCAGTTTTTGAACTGTATCAAATTTTGCAAAAAAATTTACTATCCAAATATATTTCAAGTAAAAATAGTTTCTATTTCTTCCTTAAGTAAGCTAATTTTTATTTTATTTCAATAAATGGATCCCAATAAAAGTCTTGTCTCTACTTGTGTGTGTGTGTAATAATATATTTTCAGATTTTTTTTAAGGAAGCTCAGTGTTAATTTAAGTTAAAGAAGGAAAAGTATGTAGCAACAGGCAGGTAATATTAAACTAGGAAGCACTTAAGAAATGTAGGACAAATAGAAGAAAGTATGTCTTTCACAGTGAATGGAAACCTTATAGAAATTCATTATCCCAAGAGATGATGCAGACCAAAAATGTAATTACCTTCCAGAATGGTCCAGCTAAATTCAGAGATGCTAGCATTCACAGATGCCAGCCTCGGCACGGGTTATTAGAGAAGCAATACGTCCTGTTCTCTCACGCCTCTGCCAAGCATCCCCTCTGTCCTTTCCACTTGTTTTCATCCAGGTAACACCCAGAAACTTCAAGATCCAGCTCAGGTGCCACCTTCTCTCAGCAGCATTAGAGAATAAAATATGAGGTGTCTTTTGACAGCATTCCCCCATTTGTTTCTGCATTTTCTCCCTCACAGACGATCAACTTTTGATACAAGTGGCGCTTCCAGACGCAATACCCCACCCCTCAATGAAGATGAGGTGACCAGGCATTGCTGCTGACTCATGACAAATTTCCAGGGACTCAACCAGCCTGCTCTTGACTCTCTCAATCCCATACTCCTCTTCAATGTAGAGAACTGCTGGGTGTCTCTCCCTTGTTTACAGCTCTCCCCACTCTCCTTCACTAGGAGGCTCTTCTGATTTCAGCAGCTCCCAAAACTTCAGGTAAGAGATGCTCCCCTCTGTCTGACCTTACCTGCCCCTACTCCAGCTTCATGAATCCCTGTCCAGGCCAGCCTTTCTGACTCCCCTGAGAAGAGAGGGGATTCAGGCAGCATTTTAGCAACTGAGGCACATAAAAATTGCTCGATATATTCCCCGAACGAATAGAAAACTCAGGATTGACATCTGAAGAATCCACTATACCTAAATGCTGCCTAATAAATACAAATACCTGATAATTATATTTTATTCCTTCATTCAATCATTCATTTAGAGACCACTTAGTTGATAGGCACTGCTCTTTACCTCTTTCCCCTTATATGACATTATCGATTCTCAAAGAGCATTTAATCTTCTCTAGGTCATCACTCAACTAGGTGTTATAGGGAACCATAAACATATATAGGTTTCTGCCTTTAACAAGCTTAGCCTCCATCAGACTGTTCTGTGTTTCTTCATTTCTGGCCTACTTAAAACTCACTTCTTTAGAAAGGCTTTCCCTGACTCCCCACAAGGGACATGATCTTTGGATTTTAAACTATCTTAACACTCTATACTTACTCTTCAAACCACTTGTCATGATATTTGTTTAATGTCTTTTCCCCTCACTAGGTTGAAAGCTCCATGAGAGCAGAGACCATGTCTGTCCTGTTCACTGCACCGTCCCAGCACCTAACAGAAGTTCTCCCCATAGCAAGCACTCAATGAATGGCCAGTCCAGAGTACAAAAGATCAAGGGGAGAAAATGGAGTTGGGCTATATCTTTATTCTATATTATAGCTAATATTATAAAGTGGTTAGTCTGTCTCAGGTACTTTTTACGTGCTTTAAATGTACAAATTCTTTTCACTTTCACATTAACCTCCAAGTACCAGTACTCAAAGAATACCTGACAAATATTAACGTGATTGTTATTTTGTTGATAGAGACTTTATATGAACCCTGTAACTGGATACCATTTTTTATAGATGAAGAACTAAAGAGCGAAGATGAACTTGCACATGTCACATAGTTAGCAACTGGCAGAACTGTGACTCCAAAGCATGCTCTTAGTCACTGAACAATACATATTCTCTATCCATTAACCATAGCAGGGTGGCCAGAAACCAAGAGTGTCTCCGATTTTGAAAGCTTACCAGATTTTCCAAGTGTTATCATATTGCATATCTGAGTAAAGAAAAGACAGTCATACCTCATCTCACACCATAGAAAATATCAATTCCATATGAATCATAGATATAGAAGTTAAAATTGTAGAATTATTACAAGAAATCAGAGAATATCTTTGTGACTTTGAGGTAAGCAAAAATTTCTTACAGAAGAAATAGAAAGCATAAACCATAAAAGAAAAACATAACAACTTGGACTTTATTTAGATCAAGAGCTTCTGGTTATCAAAAACACTATAAAGGAAAATAGCAGGCAAAACACAGACCAAGAAAAACTATCTGCAATAGGCATGTTTGATGAAGTACTTATACCCAGAATATATAAAGAACCCCTGCAACTCAATAATAAAAAGGCAAACCACCTAACAAAAAAATTTGGAAAAAAGGATTTTAACAGACACTTTATAAAAGAAGATATGCAAATAGCCAATAAAGAAATGAAAACATGTTTAACCATCATTGGTCATTGATGAAATACAAATTGAAAACGTGAGATAACACAACCCACCCATCATAAAATTAAGACAATCAGACAAGATTTTGGAGGGGATATGGAGCAAATGGAGCACTCATACACTGCTGGAGAGAGTATAAAATGGTACGACTTTAGAAAACTGTTTGGCAATTTCTAAAAACGTTAAACATATAATACTCCACAGCACCAATTCCATTTCTAGTTTTTTATCCAAAAGAAATCAAAATATTTGTCCACAAAAAGCCTTATACGCAAATATTCATAGCAGCTTTATTGTTAAAAGCTCAAAGCTGGAAATGAGCCAGATGTTTGTCATCAGGATAACGGGTCAATAAATTACAGTCACATAGTTAAACACTAATAAGCAAAAAAAGGCATAATCTACTGACACATGTAACAACATGGATCAATCTCAAAAAACATTATGCTGGGTGAAAGAAGCCAAACTGAAAACTAAAGTACATTCCAAATGATTCCATTTATATGAAATTCTAAAATAGGCAAAACTAACATTTAGTGACAGAAATCAGATTCATGGCTGCCTATGCTGGGGTATGGGTGGAGGAACAACAGAAAAGGGCCTACTCTGTGCCTTGCCATACATTCATTGAAACTAACTGAACGGTATATGTAGGATCTGAGGATTGCACTGTATATAAATTATTCCTCAATTTAAAAACTATTTTAAAAAAACAGCAGCCATAAGATATCCATGGTGATTTTAATAACAAGCTATAGTTATTATGCAAATAAGAGCAGTTTTAAAAATGGGATGGAGGAGGTGAAAGGACAATAATAAATAACGATTAGTCCATGAGAAAAGAATGCCAGTGTTCTGAACATAGTGGCAGTTTTTATTTTTATTTTAACCCAGATGATTGCATCAATATTCTGTTGACATTTTATGATAAAATATTGTTAATTGCTGGTCCTCCAGCTAAGAGCAAATATTACATGCTGTGCCAGAGTTGTATATTCTCTTTTGGTAGAGATGGATTCTGGGATCAGAAATCTTTCCTGCCTTTACTCAGTGATAGATGCTCCCGAAGACCCAGACCAGGAACCACTGATTTATTGCTGAAGTTCACAGAAAATGAAGTCATACGGACAGCTCCAATCTTACACATAGCAGAAGTTCACAGGGTCTGACCTGAAAGGACCCACATCCCTCACCAGCCGGCCTTCAAGCCTCGTGTCCCAATATAATATGTGTCTGTGTAGGAATATTCACTTGTTATCTATGTGTGAGAACAAATGTCACCTATAACTCATGGTCATTGCTATAGTCATCATCCAGCTAATTGCAGACATCAATCTATGCTTCCCTTTGTTCTAGCTTCCAGAACTTCTGTTTTGCTAAACCAAATAGTCCTTTCCCCAGCTCTCCTTATAGTTTGGGGATTTCTGGTGAAGCACTTTCTTTGCTAATGAAAAGGAAATAGATATTGCTGGCACCACTCTACCTCCTTCTTTTAATTTTGAACATGGGTGGGATGTGTGGAGCTGCAGCAGCTGTACTGCAACCATGAGACAACAAGCCAATAAGCTAGATGGGGAAGCAGAGGCTAGAAGGAGGCTGGGTTCCTGGTACCATGGCTTAGCCTCTGTACCACCCCTGGACTGCTTACTTCTAGAACTCTTGTCAAAATGGGTAAAGGTGTCAGTTGGGAAAGTTCCAGGACATAGCATGCTTCCAGGGAAGACCTAGACACATAGAAAATGTTGCCCTAAAAGCATATAGGAAAGTACATAAAGGAGGTGACTAGTTCTAAGGATTAACTCTGTCCTGAATAGGCCCTACCTGTAATATCAGGCTCAAGGGATTAGATGAAAACAACAAGAAACCCTAAAATGTCATGTTGCATAGAATTTTTAAAAATTATATTTATTTTTCAGCTTGGTAAATGGCTGCTTTTTTTAAACCTGAGAGAGAGAGAGAGAGAGAGTGTGTGTGTGTGTGTGTGTGTGTGTGTGTGTGTGTGTGTGTGTGTGTGTGTGTTGAAAAAGAGAGGGAGAGAGAAACCAAAGTATTCAATATTCTGCTTCTTTGCTAAACTTACAAGCTTCCTTTCCTACATCGCACTTTATTGTATTCCCTCCAAGGGGCACTCATTAATCATCGTCCCCTTCTTGGCAGTGACAATGTGGACAATATATCATGTCAAAGATTTTCATGTTAATAATTAATGATAATTTCCATAATGGAGAGTGACACATTGTATTGTACCTAAGCTCAAGATAACTGGGACTGCCATTCACTCTTGTTCTGAGCCGTGTGATAAGCATGGCGGAGTAAACCTGATGTAGAGTAGAACTGGGGGGATGGGGGTACAGAAACTATCATCTCGTTGAGCAACTGGAGAAAGTTGTGTTTCCAAAACCATCCTGATCCAAAGAATGCATGGGGTCCTCAAATAAGAAAATACAACATTTTAGAAAAGGAATTACCTCTGATTTAATAAACTAATTTACTCCATAGAAAGATGTCTAAAGGGTAGCCTCAGAAGATAGATTGACCCAAATCTGTTGCCTTCCTTAATCTGTCACTAGGTAAGTGGCAGAATAGACTGTATAAGAATTGAGGACAAACAGGAACCACTTCTGAGCACATTCCTGAGCTCTACTTGTTGTCTACACCAGTCAATATTCAATCTCAACACGCATTAGAATATGTGGCACCATCAGCCTCCTCACCTTCTCCTGTCCCAGACCTTCTAAATTGGAACTTCCAGGGTGGCAGACATTGTTTATTTTCTACCCAATGTCAAGTGCCCCTTGCTTCTTGCTAACATAACCCCAATTTTGTACAGGGCATCAGCTAAAATTCTCTTTTTCACACTCCCTTACAGCTAGGTAGGGTTTGCCATGTGACACAGTTCTAGTCATTAAGATAAGTGGAAGTCTCTGAATGAGAGCTTCTAAGAAAACTTTTGCTTTCTTGATTAGAAAAAGATCAATGTCTCTGGCATCACTCCTCCCACTTCCTCCTGATTCAAATGACTTAAATGTGGACACTGTGACCTGGAGATGCAGTTGCTATCATGTTACCATAGGCAATAACTCAAACACTAAGGATAGCATAACGAGGATCTACAAAGAGCTTGGGTCTTTGATAACTTTGTTGAGCACCAGCTCTGAGCCACATACCTCTGCATATCCTTTGATTTGATGAAGCTCAGCCCTTATTTGTTTAAGCCACTTCTGATTGGTTATTCTCTTACCTGAAAGCAAACATATTCCTAAATGATATAGGTAGTCTGAGAACCTGTACTTTAAAAAGCTGCACAAGTGATTAGATGTCTAAAAGGCATTTGAGGCTGGGCACAGTGGCTTATACCTGTAATCCCAGCACTTTGGGAGGCCAAAGCTGGAGGATCACTTGAGCCCAAGAGTTCAAGACCAGCCTGAGCAAAGTGGCAAGATGCTATCGCTACAAAATAAAAAGTTAAAAAATTAGCTGGATGTGTTGGTGCATGCCTGTAGTCCCAGCTCCTCTGGAGGCTCAGGCAGGAGGACTGCTTCACTCCAGGAGGTCAAGACTGTAGTGAGCCGTGATCACACCACTGCAAACCAGCCTGGGCAACAGACAGAGACCCTCTCTTGAAAAATAAAAAATAAAAAACGTTTGAAACCAAACATGTTCAAAACAGAACTCTTGATTTCTACCTACCCTCAAAAAATAACTCTGCTCTTCTCCCAGCCTTCTCCATCTCACTAACAGGCACTACACCCTGTTGCTCAAGCCAGAAACCTTGCAGTCATCCTTGACTTCCCATTTCTCTCATTTGCCTTCCACTTTATCAGAAGAAGTTATTAACTCTATCTCCAAAGTATGTCCTGAATCCACCCACAACATCACTTCCTGTCCACTCCCATTTCCTCAGTCCAGGCTGCCACGATAGCCTTCTAACTAGTTCTTCTCCATGAGCCAGTCTTTAATAATACATGTCAGATCATGCCATTCTCTGCCTAATACCCACTGAGAACTTCCCATTGCACTCAGACTACATCCTTACCACAGCCAGGAAGGCTTACTTCATCTGCCCCTGCTGCCTCTGAGATCTTGGCTTACACCACCTCCCCAACACTCACAGGGCTCCAATCTCTCTGGCCTTCTCTGTGTTCCTTAAACACACGAAGTTCCTGACTGCCAGGGAGTTCTTTGCCCTGTGTCCGCTCCACCTGGCATATTTTTCCTCTATAATCTGCTCATCTTATTATTTAGGTGTTGGCTTAAACACCACCTCTTCAGACTTGCTTTTTCTGACATCTCTGTCTAAAGCAATCCTCCAGTCCCTCTCTATGACAACATTCTACTTTTTATTCATAGCACTTATCACGATCTGATATTTTATGATTTATTTATGTGTTTATTGATTTGTTTTTTCATTCCTGCCATTAGAATGCAGGCTCCTTGAGTGCAGCAATTTTGTCTGTCTTATTCTTTGGTGAATCTCCAGCACTTAAAATGATGCCTAACATAAAACAGAAACCAATAATACATAAACACATTTATCAAATAAATGATTTTATATCCACATGATGGAGCCCCTTAGATAAAGCATACAGATAATTTAATTTCTTCTTTTATATTGGATGGAGTGTCTTCATCACAAGAAATATACTCTTTATTGAGTAGATGAGGAATGTTGACTTCATTTATGCCATACTTTTGTAATTTTATTGACCTTCGCTATTGTGGTCTTGCCACAGCTAGCAGCTTGTTGCCCACCCTTTTCAAGAATGAGAAGAGACGTTTTGATTTGGGTCCTATTGTAAGCTGCAAAAAAAAAATTTCCCCCATTGGATACATTCTGAATTTTTCCCCTTGTACCTATTCGTATAGCACCAAGATCTAGTTAGTTTCATAAAACATTCAGAGGTCAAAGTTTCTGAATTTGCAGAGGGATGGCTTCCTAGGACTTATTCTCAAGTCTATCACTTCATGTACCAATAACTATAAAAACAAAACCTAACCTACATGGGGCCTGGGATAAGTAGAGTAATTTAATTTAAAAGATAAATTATGCCAATAATGTACATTATCACATGCCGAAGAGTCACCAACCTGCTTTAGTTCAACTTTGTTACCAAATTACTCATCTTAATTACTGTCTTCTTCTTTTCCTTATCTCATTTTTCCCTAGTCATATTAATGGTCACATAATAATATCAGACAATGTTCACTAAGCTTAACTCTAAAAATAATGGCTGTTTTAAATCAGAGTTAATTAGTATGTCAAGAAGTTCAGGTAATTATAAGGCCACGTGATTTAAAAAAAAAAAAAAAAGAGGCATTGGGAAAAAAAGCCACTTTACCAAATGCTACACTCATGATTCTATAAAGTATTTTTAATATTTTTCTTAATATTGCCACTGAAAACTAAGTAACAAATTCTTCAGAAATCATTTATCATTGCTAACTACAGGCGAGTGAGCTCCCCCTAATCCTGCAATCACCGCAGAAGATAGATTTAACATTAATTTATGAATCGCAGTGTCGTTTCTCTTCTAGGTTTAATAGTGAATCATGGCATATACTATTTATATTTCATCACACATAAGGAAGGTTGTCAAGAGCAAAGATCAGAGTAACACAATTCTCTTTCCCATCCTCATCAGCAGCTCCTGGAGAACACACACTGGTTTGAGGAGAATTGGAAGGCACATTGTCCTTGGATCTATGTGGGAAGTGTTCTGGGACTTCAAGGGGAAGGAGCAAGTCTGAGGGATGCCTCAGAGAGCTGCATACATTTGGAATGAGCATCATAAATAGAAGACCTGCTCTTGTGGGTATCATGGCCTGCAGACATCCATCTGTGGGCCCGCTGAGGGTACCTGTGACCTCTCTCTCAATCCTTCACAAAATAATCACAATTGCAGTAAAATGGAGAAAGAAAAAAAATGATTTGCCTTTGTTTCAATGTTTCCTGAAATACATTACTGCTAGAAAAATAAGCCTTATCTCTTCAAAGTCAACACTAACAAAGAAGCCAAAGGTGGGGGAAAAAAGGGAGAGCTGGAAAACACAAGTAAGACGAGCCCCTCAGTGCAGGGATAGATCCTTAGAGACATATGAAGCTTTGGGTCATTGGGTTAAGTTGTTAACAGGGCAGCAGAGAGATCATGAACAGGCAGACCTGGGACAACCTGCCGCCGGCAGTGCTGAGGGTTCCGCTGGGGAGCAGGTTGAAGCCCTCTATCTCATGACCCCCTGCGAAATCTGAGGTAGCCTGACTTCAGGTTGCAAGACGCCAGCCTACAATATTGCCTATTTTCAACTATATCAAGTTCTCAAGCTCAGGGCAAAATTGTGAACATTTTCAATCTATTAATATTTATTGAGTACCTGCTAAGTTCAAGGTACTATACCTATGGACTGCATAAAAGTACCTTTGCTTTGGGCTCCTATGACTGTCTTTCTGTTCCTTGTAACAATGTGTCACACTGATTATAACTGATTGTTTAACTGTCCATCTTTACATCAGAGCTCAAAGCCTGGAACTGTGTCTATCCTGATCCCATTACCTCTCCAAGGCCTAGTACATAGGAGGTGCTAAAAAAAAATGTGTTTGCAGGGCCAAGATGGCAGACTAGAAGCAGCTCATGTGTGCCACTCTCATGGAGAGGAAACCAAAGGGCTGATGACGACTGACCCTGCAGGCCAATCATCTGAGAAACCATGTCAGGATCCATCAAGGCATCAGGGGAACACAGAAAGCAGAGGAGCAAAGCTGGGCAACAGCCTGTCTGGGCTCAGTGCAGGGCCAAGAGAACCACTACAACACAGGAAAGAGTAAGTGAGTGAAAGCCCCCTTTATTGTCCATATTGTCCATAATGTTATCAGCATTTTGGGCAAAGCCATTCAACAAGTCTCTAGGGAGTTCCAAACTTTCCCACATTTTCCTGTCTTCTGAGCCCTCCAAATTGTTCCAACCTCTGCCTGTTACCCAGTTCCAAAATTGCCTCCACATTTTTGGGTATTTTTCCAGCAACTCCCCACTCCCAATACCAACTTACTAAATTAGTTTGTTTTCATACTGCTGATAAACACATACCCAGCCCAACCACACACAAGGGGTTTCATGCTCTCCATAGGGACCTGTGCAAGACTGGGAATGGGAGAATCCCCATCGTCCACCAATCCCCCCCTACCATGCTTCAAGACTGAAGCAGAGAGCCACCTGGATGTTTTATGGTAGCAAGTCACAGTCCAAGGGGATCTCTACTGGCCTTGCATTCCAGGAATAAAGCCTATTTGATTGAAGTGGATTAGTTGTTTGATGTGCTGCTAGACTTGATTTCCCAGTATTTTGTTGAGAATTTTTGCATCTATGTTTACTAAGGATGTTGGCCTAACGTTTTCCTTTTTTGTTATGTCTCTGCCAGGTTTTGGGATCAGGATAATGCTGGCCTTATACAATGAGTTAGAGAAGAGTCTATCCTCCTCAATTTTTGGGAATAATTTCAGTAGGAATGGCACAAACTTTTCCTTATACATCTGGTAGAATCAGCCATGAATCCATGTGGTCCTGGGCTTTTGCTGGTTGGTAGGTTCTTTATTAATGATCTGATTCATCTTCAGATCTCATTATTGTTCTGTCCAAGGATTTAGTCTCCTCTTGATTCAAACTTGGGAGGTCGTACCATTCCAGGAATTTATCTATTTCTTTTAGGTTTTCTAGTTTGTGTTCATAGAGGTGTTCATAATAGTCTCTGAATGTTTTTTATATTCCGTGGGGTCAGTGGTGGTGTCCATTTTGTCATTTCTGATTGTGTTTATTTGGATATTCTCTCTTTTTTCTTTTTAGTCTAGCCAGTGATCTATCTATATTATTAATTCCCTCAAAGAACAAACTCCTGGATTCATTGATCTTTTGTATAGATTTCTGCATCTCAGTTTCCTTCAGTTCAGTTCTGATTTTGGTTATTTCTTGTCTTCAGCTAGCCTTGGGGTTGGTTTGCTCTTGTTTCTTTAGTTCCTCTAATTGTGATGTTAGCCTGTTAGAGATCTTTCTATCTTTTGATGCAGGTATTTAGTGCTATAAACTTCCCTCTTCACACTGCTTTGGCTGTGTCCCAGAGATTCTGGTTATGTTGTATCTTTTTTCTTATTCATTTCAAAGAATTCTTCATTTCTGTCTTAATTTTGTTATTTACCCAGAAGTCATTCAAGAGCAGGTTGTTTAATTTGTATGTAATTGTATGGTTTTGAGTGATTTTCTTAGCTTGATTTCTATTTTTATCACACTGTGGTCCAAGAGCATGGTTGGTATAATTTTTTTTTTAATTTGCTGAGGATTGGTTTATGCCAGATTGTGTGGTCAATTTTAGAGTATATGCCATGTACAGATGAAAAGAATGAGATTTGGTCTCTTTATATAATCCCATATTTCTTGGAGGCTTTGTTTATTCTTCTTTATTATTTTTTTCTTTATTTTTATCTAACTGAGTTGTTTTGGAGAGCCAGTTTTCAAGCTCTAAGATTCTTTTCTCACCTTGGTCAATTCTGCTGTTAATACTTACAATTGCATTATGAAATTCTACTAGTGTGTTTTTCAGCTCAGTAAGGTTCTGTCTTATAATGGCCAGGAGTCACGTGCCCTGCTGTCTGGGTGTTTCCCAAGACAACAGGAGGCTGCACCCTCCAGCTGAGTTCCCACAGAAGTAGGACTGATGGGTGGAAGCTCTAGCAGGTATTGCCTTCCTGGCTATCAGCAGTGGGGCTTACTGGGGTCACCTGCCCTGCTGTCTGGGTGCTTCCTGTAACAACAGGAGGCTGCACCCACTGGCTGAGTTCACAGTGGGACCACTGAGCTGGAAGCTCTAGTAGGTGTTGCCCATCTGGTTACCAGTGGCAGCGTCACATGCTCTGCCATCTGGATGTTTCCTGGGACAATAGGAAGCTGTTCCCTCTAGCTGAGTTTACACAGATCAGGGATGCTGAGCCTAAAGCTCTAGTAGGCATTGCCCATCTGGTTACCAGTGGCAGTGGTGGGTGGGGTTGCACACTCTGCCATCCAGGTGTTTTTCAGGACAACAGGAAGTTGCACCCTACAGCTGAATTCACACAGAAGCGGTACCATTGGGCTAGAAGCTGGTGCCAAGTCCCATCCAGCAAGGAGACTGGAGAGGAATCTTATTGCTGTCAGGCAGCACAACTGTAGCTCCGCTAGGGTTATGGCACCAGTACCTAGAGACTTGTGGAATGGCTTTGCCCAAAATGTTGATAACGATATGGACAATAAAGTCCAGACTGAGGTGGTCTCAGATGGAAATGAGGAACTTGTTGGGAACTGGAACAAAGGTGACTCTTGTTATGTTTTAACAAAGAGACTGGTGGAATTTTGCCCCTGCCCTAGAGATGTGTGGAACTTTGAACTTTGGAGAGATGGTTTAGGGTATCTGGCAGAAGTAATTTCTAAGCAGCAAAGCTTTCAAGAGGTGACTTGGGTGCTGTTAAAGGCATTCAATTTTATGAGAGAAGCGAGCATAAAGTTTGGAAAATTTGCAGCCTGACACTGTGGTAGAAAAGAAAAACCCATTTTCTGAGGAGAAATTCAAGCCTGCTGCAGAAAATTGCATAAGTAACAAGTGGCCGAATGTTAATCCCTAAGACAATGGAAAAAATGTCTCCAGGGCATGTCAGAGGTCTTCATGGCAGCCCCTCCCATCACAGGCCCAGAGGCCTGGGAAGAAAAAATGGTTTTGTGGGCCAGGCCCAGGGTTCCCATGCTGTATGCAGTCTAGGGACCTGGTGCCCTGCATTACAGCCACTCCAGCCATGATTAAAAGGGGCCAAGGTACAGCTCAGGCTGTGGCTTCAGAGGGTGCAAGCCCCAAGCCTTGGCAGCTTCCACGTGGTATTGAGCCTGCAGGTGCACAGAAGTCAAGAATTGAGGTTTGGGAACCTCCGCCTTGATTTCAGAGGATGTATGGAAATGTCTGATGTCTAGGCAGAAGTTTGCTACAGGGTCAGGGTCCTCACAGAGAACCTCTGCTAGCACAGTGTGGAAGGGAAATGCGGGGTTGAAGTCCCCCCACATAGTCCCTACTGGGGCACCACCTAATGGAGCTGTGAAAAGAGGGCCACCATCCTCCAGACACCAGAATGGTAGATCCACTGACAGCTTGCACCATGTGCCTGGAAAAGCTGCAGCCATTCAACACCAGCCTGTGAAAGCAGCCAGGAGACAGGTTATACCCTGCAGAGCCACAGGGGTGGAGCTTCCCAAGACCATTGGAACCCACCTCTTGCATCAATGTGACCTAAATGTGAGACATGGAGCCAAAGGAGATCATTTTGGAGCTTTAAGATTTGACTCCCCTGCTGGATTTTGGACTTACGTGGGGCCTGTAGTCCCTTTGCTTTGGCCAATTTCTCCCATTTGAAATGGCTATATTTACCCAATGCCTGTATCCCCATTGTATCTAGGAAGTAACTAACTTGCTTTTGATTTTACAGGCATATGGGCAGAAGGGACTTGGCTGCCTCAGACGAGACTTTGGACCGTGGACTTTTGAGTTAATGCTGAACTGAGTTAAGACTTTGGGGGACTGTTGGGAAGGCATGATTGTTTTTAAAATGTGAAGATATGAGACTTGAGCGGGGCTAGGTGGGGGAATGATATGGTTTGGCTCTGTGTCCCCACCCAAATTTCATCTTGTAGTTCCCATAATTCCCAGGTGTTGTGGGAGAGAGCCAGTGAAAGATGATTGAATCATGGGGGCAGGTGTTTCTCATGCTGGTCTCATGATAGTGAATGGGTCTACCAAGATCTGATGGTTTTAAAAATGGGAGTTTCCCTGCACAAGCTGTCTTTTGCCTGCTGCCATCAATGTAAGATGTGACCTGCTCCTCCTCACCTTCTGCCATGATTGTGAGGCCTCCCCAGCTACGTGGAACTGTAAGTCCAATAAACCTCCTTTTTTTTTTTCTTGTAAATTGCCCAGTCTTGGGTGTGTGTTTATCAGCAACATGAAAATAGACTAATACACCAAGGAAATCCTAAGCAAAAAGAACAAGCTGGAAGTATCACATGACCCAACTTCACACTATACTACAGAGCTACAGTAACCAGAACAGCATGGCACTAGCACAAAAACAGACACACAGACCAATGGAACAGAATAATGGGCCCAGAAATAATGCTGTACACCTACAACCATCTGATCTTTGACAAAGTTGACACGAACAAGCAATGGGAAAAGGACTCCCTATTCAATAAATGGTGCTGCGATAACTGGCCAGCCGTATGCAGAAGATTGAAACTGGACCCCCTTCTTATACCATATACAAAAATCAGATCAAGATGGATTAAGGACTTAAATGTGAAACCTAAAATTATAAAAATCTTAGAAGATGATCTAGGAAATACCATTCTAGAGATGGGACCTGGCAAAGATTTCATGATGAGGACACCAAAAGCAATTTCAACAAAAACAACAATTGACAAATGAGACCTCATTAAGTTAAAGAGCTTCTGCACAGCAAAAGAAAACTATCAACAGAGTAAACAAACAACCTACATAATGGGAGAAAATATTTGCAAACTCTGCACCTGACAAAGGTCTAATATCCAACATCTATTTACAAACTCTGCATCTGACAAAGTTCTAATATCCAACATCTGTAAGGAACTTAAACAAATTTACAATCAAAAAACAACCCCACTAAAAAGTGGGCAATGAACATGAACAGGCACTTTTCAAAAGAAGACATACACATGGCCAACAAGCATATAAAAAAATGCACAACATCACTAATCATTAGAAAAATGCAAATCAAAACCACGGCAAGATACCCTCTCACACTAGTGAGAATGGCTATTATTAAAGAGGCAAATAATAACAGATGTTGGTGAGGTTGTGGAGAAAAGGGAACAAGTACACTGTTGGTAGGAATGTAAATCAGTTCAGCCATTGTGGAAGGCAATTTGGCAATTTCACAAAGAACTTAAAAAAGAATTACTATTTGACCCAGTAACCCCATTATCGGGTATGTATCCAAAGGAATATAAATCATTCTACCATAAAGACACATGCACATATATGTTCATCATGGCACTATTCACAATAGCAAAGTCATGGAATCAATCTAAATGCCCATCAACAGTAGACTGAATTAAAAAAAAAAGATTCATATACACAATGCAACACTATGTATCCATAAAAAATAATGAGATAATGTCCTTTGCAGCAACGTGTATGCAGCTGGAGGCCATTATCCTAAGCAAACTAACCTAAGAACAGAAACCCTAATACCACATGTTCTCACTTGTAAGTGGGAGCTAACCTTTGAGTACATATGGACACAAAGAAGATAATAAAAACCACTAGGGCCTAATAGAGGGTGCAAGGTGGGAAGAGTATAAGAATAGAAAAACTACCTATCAGGTACTATGCTTATTACCTAAGTGATAAAATAATCTGCACATCAAATTCCCATGACAGAGTTTACCCACATAACAAACCTGCACATGTGCCCCTGAAACTAAAATAAAAATAAAAAGAAATATGTTGGAATGAGTGACTAGATGCTCATAAAATAGTTTGAGAAATAAGATGTAAACACCTAAAAAAAGAAGAAATGATGTGTCACAGACAGCACATAATAAGCTACTGAACACAAAGTAAAACAAGTCCTCAAGGAGAGAGAGAGAGATATCTCTTCAGGCTGACATGGAGAATCCCTCAGGTTATTAGAGGAACCCTGACTCTGAATCTGTCCCATGCTTTTCTAGCACAGAAACAGAGGCACCTATCCAATGAGAGAGGCAGAGTAGGAAAATGGAGGGACCAACTGGGGGGCAGGGGAAATGGGTATCCTATCACTAGGACACGAATTGCCACTTTTTCTGTTAATATTGTAGGTATTTCATGTGTAAATTACACCAGTGTGGTCATTATTAATTAATTTAATTTAATTTAATTGGCTACTATGAACTACACTCATTTTGAGGACTATAATCAATTTATGGACTACAATCATTTTGAGGACGAGTTGAGAAATCACATTTATTTACAATTAATTTAATTAATGATTAAGTACTAAGCACTTAACTATGTGGTCTCATTTCATCTGTGTGACTATCTGTTAGATGCCATAGCCCCATTTTATAGATAAGGATACTGAGTCTCAAAGGAGTTATGTGAAGTAGACGAATCACAATCCACAGCAATTGACTTCCAAGGCATAGCTTCTCTATTAAACCCCAAGTACTGATGTCATTAGATCTTAGTCCTGTGGAACCCAACAAGTTAACTGAACAGCTCATAGATGGTCAACTGAAGGCAGGCTACCTTTAGTCAAAACATGAGGAACCCTTTTCAGTGTGGAGGGGCTGTGGATTGCTGAGAAGCCGGGAAAGTAATGTACCAGTCTAAAAATACCAAAATCAAGTACAGCAGTAACTTCAAAGACAGAAATCTTCAAGGTAGTGCATGATCCAAGAGCATAGGCAGTAAGCATGACAGAGAAATACGAAGTCCATTCCATGAAGTGATTCCAGTCGTGTCGTAAGACCCCTTCTAAAATAATCTCTGCTACCACCTCTGTCTGACCATCCTCATTTAGATATTTACTCCCCAGCCTAAGAAATGATATTTTGTTGTCATCAATTGCCATCACTTTTCTTCAACTCAATTTGAAAAATACTTACCAGTTACCTATTAGAAGGGAAAGTAGAATTCTAGCACTGGGGTACAAAATGGAATAAAATTAGGTTCCTGGCCTCAGGGGCAAATGGAAAAAGAACCCCATATAATCTGAGTTTACTCTTAGTAGAGTCAGCAAAGTGTCATGAGTATGCATAAAAAGGAGTGATCAATTTTGCCTCCTCACCTCCATTTCCTGTCCCAACCCTCTGTACATATCTGACTCCTTACCACTGCTATGAAGAGATCCTGAACTCTTCTCGCTCACTGTGGTAGGCAGAATGGCCTCCAAATATGTCCAGGCCCCAGTCCCTGGAAGCTGCCAATATGTTACAATAACAGTCTTTTGCAAATATAATTTAGGTTATAGACTTTAAGAGAAAGAGATTTTTCTGAATTATCTCGGTAGACCCAATCTAATCACATGAACCCTTTAAAGCAGAGATCTTTCTTCCACTGGAGTTAGAGAGATTCAGTAGAAGGAGAAGGCAGAGAAGAGACTCCAGATGGAAAAGATAATGGGCTGAGGAATGCAGGCAGTTGTAAGGAGGTGAGAGATGCTCCTGGCTCACAGCCAGCAAGGAAATTGGGACCTCAGCCATGCAACCACAGGAACTGAATTCTGACAGTGACCTGAATGGCCTCAAAAGTGGATTCTTCCCCAGAGCTCTAGACACCTAAATTGTATCCTTGTGAGAACCTAAGCAAAAATCAACTGAGTCATGCTGGCTGTGCTAGACTTTAGACCCATGGAAACTGAGATAATAAGTGGGCATGGTTTTAAACCTCTGAGTTGCTGGTCTTTTGTTACAGCAGCCATAGAAAACCAATATGCTGCCCCAAATGCTCTTCTACAATCCTCGGCCATCACCATTCTTTAGTCTTGTTCCAAGGCCATGCCATCTGTAAAGCCTTTCCCAAGCCCAAGAAAAACAAAGCTGTCCTTTTTCTGCATTCTTCTCACATCTTGTATGGACTTGCAGGAGAGTAATTATTTCCCTCCCTTGTACTGTTACCAGCTATTTTCCCACTAGGTTATATAATGTGTCTTAATTCGGTTTTGTGTTCCCCACACACCCAGCTACCTTGGCATAGACAGAAAAACAATAGCAGACTGCCATTCAATCCACCCATATTTAGCATCCCTGGGTAAATGGCACTAGTAGGCATTCAGATGTCTTTTTGGCTGGCACCCAGGGTAGTGGGATGTCAGTCCAAGACAATTCATGGTGAGAAGGGCAGTGTTATACAAGCAGAATAGCTTATTAGTTGACACCATTTTATTAACCTATATTGACTGCCTTTTAAATGCAAATTGAATGCTTTAGTGAAAACTAAATTGAAATATTACATTGGAATTAGTCTTGATAAAAGAACATCACAGATTGATGCTGGTATCGTCACCTGCACAGCTATAAATTACCAGTGCATCAAAAGCCAACTTGATTATTGTTCCTCAGTTAAACAAGGACAATTTAGTATTCCAGCAAAACCACTAATTCATTGAGAGATATAGCAAGAAACTCTATAAATAAAAGAGCTAAGGCATAAAATGATACTCATTATTTAAAATAAACTAACACTTTAATATATCAATTGTGCTTTCTTAGAATTGTCACCCAATTTATTTGAGTAGCTAATTAGCAGAAGGTAAGGACCATCTGGGATGTGGAAAGATGGTAAATCAAATTCAGTCTTTTAGAATATATGATAATATATAACTCTACTGACCTTATGGGGGAGGTATGGAAATATATTAGACATAATACATTTTATCTAAACTCACTTAGCACTAACATTCATCATATATTATAATATTAAACTACATATCCCATCTAACCTCCAAGCAAATTGAGAAATCTCATGGGATTCCACAGTCCTTGACTCCAAGGAGAAATCAAAGCTCCCAGTGGAGGTATAACCATGAAATATGTGCCCGTGTGTGCATTATTATTATTGATGTAATTGCTTCAAGTGATGCACTCACTCTAGGTAAAGAAAATCTATAGGGAAGTTCCGATTTATCTCATCACTGCAAGGTGTCCTCCATACTTGAGTAGAGTGAAATATTTATCCGTTTGTTAAAAGGGAAGTGCTAATTGGCCAATCTGGTTAAACTCCCTGGAGGGAAAACTGGATGAATGGAAAGTTATTAGGAGGTGTAAACAGATCAGAAAAGGGAAAGCAAACCATAAATCAAAACCCAAATAATTGTTACAGAGAAAATAATTCACAGGGCAGAAAATGGCATAAACTGTATACATGTATGCTAACACTGACAGTGATGAGGATGTTGGGAAAAACCTCTACTCCCTGACTGGCCAAAAATTTGATTGCAAAGAGGCTCAATAATTGTGCATAGGGCTGTGGAGTGGAGCTGCATTAGGCCCTAGGCCCTATTCCCTAGGTCTTGACTCCTTCATTCAACCAACCAGAACTGTTTGAGTTTGTACTGCTGGACCAGGCAGGGTGGAGATGAGAAAATGAAGCAGAGATAAATCCTATCATCAAGAGGTCTGAGCAGAAAATTTAACAGGAGTAAAAGGACCAGTGGTTTTCAAACTTGTAACAAAAGTAATCTCATATAGAACCTCACCAAGTAAAACAGACAAAAATGCAGCTTTTCCAGTTGAAGTCAAGGTCAAAGTCCTGGGTTCCAGCTAATTTAGCATCTCAAGCCCCAGAACTTTCGGGCCCTGAATTACACCCAGGGACCCCTTGGGCTCTACATAGCATCATTTGAAAACAGTCATTCTGACACAACCAATCAATGTAGAAAATGACATGTTTCATACAGGAGCAAAGAAGGTTGTATGAGAAGATAGAGAAAGTTGAGTTTCATTTTATTTAATTTTAATTAAATAAACAAAAATCTCTTTTTTTGGTGATTTTACAATTACTAGGATAGGGGTCTACTTTAGATAGGGAGCTCAGGAAAGGAATCTTTAGGTCGTATATTTGCTTTCAGACTCTAAATTCCAAAAGATGAGAGGAAGAACATTCCAACCACAGCTGGCAGCACATTCAAAAAGCTCTGCAATGACAAGTTTGATGGGGTTGTGGGAAACAAGAGGAGAAATGGTAGGAGATGGGCTCTGACTGGTGAGCAGCAGCCATGAAGGGAGTTTGGATTCTAGTCTAGATGCAGCAGGAAACCGCTGCAAGATTTTTAAGCACTAGAGTCTCAAGGTATGATTTATATTTCCAAAAGGTTGCTTTGGCTGTAATGTGGAGAATAGATTATAAGGGTCATGAGTAAAAGCAAAGGCTGCTGTAGTTGCACAGTCAGAGGCTATCAGATTTGAATGTATGAATGGAGACCAGCAGACAGATTCATGAAGTATTTTGGAGACAGAGCTGACAGACTTCTGGATTGGAAAGGAGGGTAGGGAGGACAATGGGGTAGAAAGTGGAATTAAGGATGACATCTAGTTACTGACTTGAACAATGAATGGGTGGATAGGTTACCCTTTGTTGAGGGGAGAAAGGCTAGAAGAGGAGCAGGGTTGGGGCATGGGAAGGAGAAAGAATGAAGAGTTTGAGAGAAAAGAAAGGTTCCTAGGTTTGGCTTGAACAAATAGCCCATTACCTCATTGACTCTTTAGAGCAACCCTAAAAAGTGATTCCCATTTTTCACCTGAGGAGATTGAATTTCAAGCAAGTTACATAACTAATGTGTCCAAGGACACTCAGCAAGGAAGTGCCAGGGCTTGGATTTGAGCCAAGGTGTCTGACTCTAGAGTTGACATGTGTAATTTCTACATACTACCTCCCACTACAGAAAGAGGTGGAGTTATACAGAGGTTTCATCTCAATGAGCTTATCTTTCCATACTGATAAAATTAGGCAAATCATCCTCACTGCATAGGAGTTGTGAAATTCACAGTGATAAATGTGGAAGTTCTCCCTGCACTGTACAGTTGTTTATAAGAATGAAAAATATATTTTCAGCCATTGAATCCTGGCATATATTCTTGATTCTGTGAACTCTGACTATTCTGGTTTTGACTATGGCCACATCCTAGCCTGGTAGATTTCTGCTGCCTTATTCAGTTTCCAGTCACAGGGCTTTCCAGATCCCACTCCTGGGGGCTCTAAAGGGGTCTGAGAGACTCTAGTCTGAGTCTGGGGCAGTGCCTTACTCTTAAGTATTTCTGGAGAACTTTGGAATCCCCCTGCTTCCAGGCTGCCATTTGTGATTTACCTTCACAACATAATATGTCGTGCTGAGCCTGGGGTTGACATTTCAACACACACAGGGATGCTGTCATGTCCACAGTGGTAATGACTCATGTCCTCTGTGGGAAGCTTTCTCATGACACTTTACAAACCGTAGGAGCCACTCTTAGCCTGTAGCTGAGACAGTCCTTGACAACTGCCAAGCCACTGTCTCCTTGAGCTAGGAAGTGAGGAGAAGGGAAAGGGAGAAAGAAAGAGGTGACCATCTGGCAAATCCTACTGGGTCCTGGGCCCCAATGGCAGGGACTGTTACTCAGATTGTCTCTTTTAACCCTTATAACAATCTTGGGAGACAACAATTAGTATTCTCATTTACAAAATCAAGAACCTGGAGCTCAGAGTTCATTTAGCTTGCCAAAATCCACAAGCTAGTTTAGAGGGAGAGTCAAAGCTCTGAACTACATAGACCTGACTCTAAAATACAATGGTTTGATTCCACTAGGCCATAGTGCCAAAGCATAGAATCAAGAGAGAGGGGAGGCAGAAAAGAGGACAAAAGGGTCTTCTTAGAGTGTGCTCTCAGAATCCTATCAAAAACATGAAGTCATGAGTCCACAGTGACTGAAAACTCATTTGATTTTCAGCTCAGGCATGTCAGAAAAAAAATCTAGTTTCAGTTATTGTTATACATATAGAATGTAGGCTATCAAACTATAATGAAAACCATCAGCCATATTTAACCAGCCAGATTTTTATTTCCCAAGGCCACGATAAGGAAGATGACTGAAATTTAGTTTGCATAACTATAAAGAAACTATGTTAGCAAAAGGACAAGGAGGGCAGCTTATTCCATTGCTAAGAGAATCAATTCTTCTACCCAAATGAGAATGCCAGGTGAGAAATGGGGATTTACATGGCTACCTTTCACCAGAATGATTTGATTTATGTAAGTAAATTCTATACTTTGCCGGCTCCTAAATCCAGAGTGGTGCAGTTAAGCTGATGCATATCAGAGCCGACTCCCTTTCTCATTTCAAGTTGATAATTTAAATGCTTACTAAAGTTTCTATGTTAACTTTCAGGGTTTTAAAAATGAAGCAAGTTTCTGTTCTCCACCAGACTCAGGAGCAATGGGAATTAATATAATATTGTCTTTAATGAAACGTAGTGGGCATGTGTGATTCATGTTTGTTCTCAATTCTTTCGTTCTCTTTAAAACATCATAAAATGAAAAATACAACAGCTGTTTCATATTAAAGAGAAATGCAAATGTGCACTAATGCAGCTCAAGAAATATTTTATGTGTTCAGAGAATTTATTATTTATATAAATGGAATCAATCTACATTTTCCCCATTCAATAAAATGGCATTTATTTCAATGGCTTAGCCAGTTATTTAAACCAAAGCACAAAATAGGGATGGTGTAGAATTTAAGTAAAGGGTGCATTTCTTTTTCCTAAAAGTACAGAATAAAGAAGAAAAGAATTCAGATGCTTTTTGCTCACCAAAGATATAAAAACACCACATTCTGTTTATGCCTAGTTTACTAAACACCACATTCTGTTTATGCCTAGTTTACTAGATTAACAAGTTTCTGTTGCATGGGAAATAATCTCATCAGAAGAGTCAATTGTTTAGGCTGAGCTTTGTCGGGGGGGTGAACAGTGTTCAAACCCAGGTACTTCTTGTGCTGGTAAATTGTGTTTGGAAAAGGCCTCCTGGTGAGCAGTAATGCTTTCTCATTATTACACTCCTTCTATTATCTACTTTGGATGCAGATATAAATTATTTAAAACAGGAGAGGTTTCCCTTGCTAATTAAAGGCAGGCTGCCTAACCAGCTCCCATCAATGCCGAGGGCTTCATTCCATGCACAATCCTTCAACCAGTATAACAGCCCACTCCCATGGTTTTCTAAGTAATTTTAATCAGTCATGTGTGTACCATGGAAACCCAACAGCTGTGCTCTTGGATGACCTTATTATCATTAGCAGCAAATTAGTTGTTGAGTGGGGAATTTTTCATCAGGAAAGACTACATGATTTCATAAACTTGGGAATGGCCAGGTTCTATTTATTTTTTCTAACTGTAATTTACAACGTAGGAAATGAGCACATTTAGAGTGAAATTCACACTTTAATGAAGAGGGATATATCTGAAGTTTCTTTCTAACACATTTTCTACATTCCTTTATTCTATTCTAGGGAATAAGAGAATTGCTATCATTTAGAAATTTTCCCAGTGAATGAACAAGAGGAGTTTTTTAAGTGTCGTTTGCTTTTGGCTTTGGAAGCAACAAAAGTTGCCTCCTGGTGGTCAGGAGATCAACAATTCTCTGGGATATTGGGAAAATCATTTAAATAATTGCCCCGAAAAGGAGCTCTATAGGTCCCCATGATGAAAGAAGCACATTTTGGTATTAAGATTACCCCAGAAAGAGTCACAAAACCTGCTGAAGACATGATCACTCACTAGATCATGTTTCAAACAGGTCAGTGGACATTAATTTTACAGCCCTGGTTGTACAGCCCAAACAGCACTTTTCTATCAGGCATCCCAACACTCCATATATTAGAACAGAGCTGTCATTGTTTTCACCTCTCAGACTTTTAAATTTTCCTGTATTGCCTTTAATTTCATATTTAAGCAAGCTCTTATGCTTCAAAAAATACTCCTAATGGAAGATTTCACTGCTATTTCTTCTGTAAGAGTAGCTTCTCTAGAGGAGGGAGCAGTTTTGTCATAATTAGCCCCTCAACAATCCGATAATTACCAAAAGCTCATTCTCCTGGCTGTTAGCCTCCATGTGCTATGTAGATCAATTTCTTTGTAATTGCACAGCAGTGTTGCCAAATAAGACAACAACCCCGTAAATATTAAAGACGACCTGTGGGTGTGCAGTTAAGGGTAGAGTGAGTGGTATAGACTGCACAACTGCCTTCCCTTTCTTTCCTGAACCCTCAAGGTGATGTCCATATTGTTACACCAGCCTCAGTTCTCTGTGAGCAAAATGGTGCAGGATGTAAAACAAGACTTCGGCCTTCTCCTGCATTCTCTGTAGCCTCTCTCTATTCATCTCTCATCTCATCCCAACACTACTGCCCTCAAAAGGAACCAGAGGCAAGCTGGAGAGTGCTAAGGTAAGCCCCTTGAGGGGAGGGGAGTAGACACTGTGGTGCTCTGTCATGGGCTGCTCTCCAGGACCAACACACTCATCCTCATCTGTTGGGAATGTCAGCTAGTGAAGGCTCCCCACAGCCTCCACCCCTGGATATTCCTTGCCCAAGTTTGCACCCACTCCCAGGGAGCAGCCCACAGTTAATGACTGGCTAATGCCGAGATACAAAGGTCTGACTCCTTAGCCTCATTTGGAACAACTCTAAAGGGCCATCCCAACTCCAGGGCCCCCATAGGGTTGGCTGACGCCACAGGTGCAATCTCCCTGCACATCAGCTTCTCCCTCTGCTCAGTGTTGCCTTTCTCACCTCCAAGAGTGCTCCCCAATAAACCTTCAGCGCCAAACTTCTCATCTTTAATTGTGTTTCCAGGAAACCCAATGGAAGGCAGAGGGTTACCCCCAGTAGTCTTAGACTGCTGTGTCATAAGGAGAGGCAGCAGAACCATTCCCTAAAGAGGTAAGACTCACAACCAGGAATACAAAGTGGTTAGATCCAAAACGTGAGCTAGGAACTAAATTCAATAATCCAAAATAAAATGAAATGAGGTTCAAGACAAGCAGAATCAAGTGCTTTAGGACTATTTGCAAAAACAGAGAGTACACAGGTTTTTACATCTGAATCTATCATACCTCCTTAAATGAGCTGGTCCCTTATGGCATCTTCTGGTTGCTCAGAACGCTCACTAAAGTGTACTTTAATCGACCTTCACTCTGAGGCTCCAATAGTCCAGGCACACTGAACATAACCGTTTCCACTGTCCACACCATAACACGGGATCGTGCAAACATGGCCCACCCTCCACCCCCTCCAGAGTTTCATTTGGAATTCCAAGGCTGAGTAGCCCATTCTGTCCTATATGTCTTCATCCCAACTCTCTGCCTCTCCTCACTGTCTTCCATAGTCCAGGCTATGGGTCAACCCCTCTAGACATCTGTCAAAATTCTCTGAGCACTTTGGAAGCTCAGTCTATTGCCAAGAAATTACCTTAGATTCTCAATGTTGCTTATTCTGCATACAGATGCAGGGGGAAGAGGACCTAACACATTTGCTTTAAATGAGGACATGTTTTTCTCTCAGGCATTTGTTTTTTCTGCTTCTCAGCAGGAAGGAGATCCAATATTCTCCTGCCACCTTCCCAGGCCACAAACAATGCTTATATCTCCTCTGAGTTATGATGGTGAATATTGACTGGGCACTTGCTATGGACTAGGCACTATTCTGAGTGCTTTACATGCTTTATCTCAGTGATCTTTATAACAACCTTGTGACACAGTTAATATGACCCCTGTTCTACTGATGAGGAAACAGGGGTACAGAGGGGTGACCTACCTTCTCCCACAATCAGAAAGTTGGTGGAGCCAGGTTTTGAACTCAGCCAGTGACCCCAGCCAATAAGCTCTTTTGTCTTGCCCCACACCTAGCATCCACTGACATCCATTTTGCCCTCCATATGTTGAGGGTTTCCTCTCCACTCTGGATGCTGCCAGTACCCAGTAATGACATCCGCAGTAATGTAATATCAACATCCCAGGGATGACCCCACCAAAGCCCTCGCTTTCCAGTTCCTCTGGAACTGTTTCAATGGTATACACCCTAGGCCTTCAGTAATTGACTCCCAGGGTCATACGCTTCTCAAATACTCAGCTCTGAAAGGTCCCTCTGACCACCTGCTCTCCTCCACTTGTCTTGCCTCCTCATTCCTTCCAAACTGCTCTTTGGCCCCACTTCCTCCTCTGTGGGTATGGCCTACCCTCTCTCTGCCTTTCAATTTCCTCCCTTCCCTGACCAGCCTGTGTTCCTATCTCCCCTTCAATCCCTCTTTCATCGGCACCTGAAAGTCCCTCACTTTCCTCTCATTGCACACATTATGCTAATCCCCTGTCTTGCACTTTTCTGTCTTTTTTTTTTCAGTGACTCCCATTCCCTGAGTAAAGGGAAAAATCCAAGTTCCTAAGCAAGACCTTGAAGCTACTGCATGGTCTTCCTCAACCTGCTCACATCCCACCACCGCTGTCCCCCACGACTTGGTATTCTGGCCACAGTGAGCACCAGTCTCAAACGTGCCATGCCTCTCCATATCTTCTTGTCAGAAATTGTCTTCCCTTCTGCCCCTCTGGAAAGAAGCAACAGAGCCTGGTGACTTCTTGGACAGAGGAATGGGGGAGAAGAAGGAGGAAGGGAGGGATGAGAGTAGTGGATGAAATAGAAGATGACTTAGAGATGTTTACTCTGAGCACCTGCAAAGAGGAGAGTGCCGTTATACTGCAGGGACTCCTTCAAGGAGGAAAAGCAGGCAAGATACAGAGTCAAACTGGGCCTTCTCCGACCAGAGGTGTAGATGAAACACCCATGTAAGAGCATCATAAAAACAATCATAATCACAGTTCAACATTGATGCCCCCAAACAATTATGCACATTTTACTCTGATTATGTGCCAATAATTAGCCATGACATATAGTTTATATGGATTACAAAAGCAAATCGGCCAGGCGTGGTGGCTCATGCCTGTAATCCCAACACTTTGGGAGGCCAAGGTGGGCGGATCACTTGAGGTCAGGAGTTCGAGACCAGCCTGGCCAACATGGTGAAACCCCATCTCTACTAAAAATACAAAAATTAGCCAAGCGTGGTGGCACATACCTGTAGTACTGGCTACTCAAAAGACCGAGGTGGGAGAATCACTTGAACCCAGGAGGCAGAGGTTGCAGTGAGCCAAAATTGCACCACTGCACTCCAGCCTGGGCGACAGAGCAAGACTCCATCTCAAAAAAAAAAAAGAAAAAAAAACAGCAAATGAATTTAAGAATATTTTAGAATATAATGACATTCAGATAGGTAATAAAATATGAAGAAATCAATAAAACTTATCTATATAGCTGCAAGCTACTTGGAAATATGATAAATATCCTTGATGAAAATAAATATGTTAGTGGACTAATAAAGCTAGTTATCTCACATTTCACTAATAATTTATGAGATGTACTTCCAAATACTTGTAATATTACCAGGAAATTTATATATAGATTATTATAATGAACTTCGCCATTAGGCCTAATGATGTTATATATTAAAACCAAATTTATCTTAGTCACTAATTTGAGATGCTTCAAAAAGGACATTTATGTATACTGTTTTAATTATCCATTGCCTACCTTTAAAATTACTTCAAAATCTTAGCTTTAGAATTTTATATATTTTGAAATTTTGATTTTCTAGAGAAAACATGGAAGTAAAAACATAAAAGGGTAAGAACCAAGGTCAGCTGACAAGCAGAAACATGCCCTTTATGCCCTAGAAACCAGGGACCACATAGTGTTTACTTATTGAAAGAATTTAAGCTTTATCATATGTCTATTTTTATCACAAAAAATATTTTCCTGCCAGAGGTAAAGTGTTCTTTAAATGCTTTGTGGACTCTCTTATATCAGAAGCTCAGAAAAGAGGTTGCTAGTTGTTCTTGCAGAAACAAGGGCCACTTAACGCCAAAGACTCACATTATGACATTGTAGTTAGTCTAAGTTCAAGGAAACCCACAGAGTAAACATGTTGCTTGTAAAAATCACATATACTGCAAAAGATTCAGGTTTTATTAGGTTAATAACAGCGATGTAGGAAAGTTGCACAATTACATACAAAACCATTGACAAATGAGGATCTGACAAAGCTAGACCTGTTAACAATAAAAAAGAAAACCTATAAGCATGGTAATAGAATAAAAATATCAGAGATGAAAAATATGAATATCAAAAGATCAAGGGAGATCTTTAAGGAAATTGATGAAGTCTGCAAACATTTTTGTGCCGTGAAGTTTAAGGATAAAGTAAAGGCTGTTGCATTATGCTATCATACCATTTCACTACATAAAAATATCAACACTAGATTTAGTCTCAACAAATATCAATTCTCAATAAATATCAATTGTATTATTATTGGTAATATTATCGTTATTCATTAGAGTAATGGGGGGATGAAGTTCATTTTGACTTAGTGGGGAGGAAAACCCTCGAATAAACACTGGAACCTCATTATCCTTCTATCCTCACATCTCCCCTTGGCTGAACCCAACCTAAAGCCATTGATCTACATATAGATCAGCATCTTCAGCCCGGAAGCAAGTAGAGAAGGGAAAAGAGTGGGTCTAGAGTGGCAAACTGAAGATGTCCATCACACACAAACACACACACACACACACATGCACACACACACCACACACAACCTGAGTTCCATGAGGCCAGATCCCCAAATTCTCAAGACACTGACATTTATCTGGATAACAAATGTTTTTGGAGGGCTTTCTAGACATCAGGTATAGTTCCAGGTGCTGGAGACACTGTGGCGAACAAAGTTGACAGACTCACTTCTATGGCTATATTATGATTTCTATCAGTCTCTACCTCCATAAAAAAAAATTTAAATATTATTTTATGGCCAGGCGTGGTAGCTCATGCCTGTAATCCCAGTACTTTCGGAGGCCGAGGCGGGTGGATCACAAGGTCAAGAGATGGAAACCATCCTGGCCAACATGGGGAAACCCTGTCTCTACTGAAAATACAAAAATTAGCTGGGCATGGTGGTGCATGCCTGTAGTCCCAGCTACTCAGGAGGCTGAGGCAGGAGAATCGCTTGAACCTGGGAGGTGGAGGTTGCAGTGAGCCGAGATCATGCCACTGCATTCCAGCCTGGGCAACAGAATGAGACTCCATCTCAAAAAAAAAAAAAAACAAAAAAAATTATTTTATGACCACATATGAAGACAAATTTACTCCAGGCTGAATTCATTATTCTGTATTTGTGATTCTTATATTTATTTTTTCTTCTAATTTTTAAGTAAATGAAAATTAAAACATTTTTGTGGACCCCAGAAAGTATCATGGATTCTAGGCACTGTGCCTACTGTGCCTAATGAATAAATTGGTCCACCCCAGCCCCTGCTATTACAGAACTGATGTTCCAGTCGGGGAGACAACAAAAAACAAGTAATAATTAAATCATGGCAAAAATATTAGAGAAGTGCAACGAGGGCCATTGAATAGGACATCTTAGAAGGTGACCAGTGGAGAGGGGCTGGACAGACACAATGTCCACAGCAGGCTACCTGAGGGGGTCACACTGCAGATAAGAACCTTGATGACTAGAGGACTCCATCTTCTGAAAATCTAGAGGCGTCACAGAAGGAACAGCTGGCGTAAAGGCCCTCAGACAAGAAAGAGTGTGGTGTGTCCGAGAAAAGCGAGAAGGCCAGTGAAGCTGAAGCATAGAAGATGGGAGGAAGGGCAAAATGAAAGAGGTGATCACGCAAAGTCCTGCAGGTAAGAACATGGGTTGTGCTCTATGCTGGGTAGTTACATGGCTTGATTTGGAGACTGGATTACAGGGAGAAACAGGGAGACTGTTGGCTACTGCAGGCTACCCAGGCAAGAGAAGATGCTGCCTAGTACCAGGAGGATAAGAGTGGAGACAAAGAAAGGATCGTGGATGTAAGATATCCTTTTGTGAGTTGACAGGGCTCCTGAAGAACTGGCCAAAGTAAAGAGAGGAATCAAGGATGACTTTGGGGGTTTGGGCTTGAGAACTTTGCGGGAGGTGAGTGGCATTTATTAGTGCAGACTTTCAAAAACAGTGTTTCTCCAGTTGGACTAGTAGCTAATAAAATATGGTCTGATGTACCAGGCTGTGACTCTCACACATCTTGTCAGGAGCATGTTTGTTGTGGGAGCACACCAAATTTGTTATTTCCAGTGTCATGTAAATGACTGCTTTGGCCACCATGCTGCTTGCTGCAACTCTGCCAACTGTTTTAGCAACAAAACCTTGACCCTTGCTTCCTCATCTTGCCTTTTAACCAAGTGTGAGTGCTTGGCTAGCCCACACTTGCTTTTTCGACAGAACTGTTCCTTCTAGAAGGACCTAATTGGTTCAAGATTAACTACCCTATCTGGTCTTCAAACAATCTTTTTTCCTGGCACAATGAATCTCCTTTCTGTGCTCCTGATAAGAATTTATTGTTTGGGGCTGGGTGCATTGTTTCGTGCCTGTAATCTCAGAGCTTTGGGAAGCAGAGGCGGGAGGATTACTTGAGGCCCGGAGTTTGAGACCACCCTGGGCAATATAGCAAGACTCTGTCTCTACAAAAAAATAAAAATAAATAAAACATTTTTAGAGAAATAATATTTGGATCTGAATTTATCTTTGTTCCTTGAAGTAAATTTCAAAGCAACTGAATTCTTATAGAACTAGAATACTAACATTCTAAGGAATAATAAACTCAGGTTTTTATTCTTATTCTTCTTGTCTTCTCATTCCGTATACTTTCTCTGAGTAATCTCATTGATTCATTCATTCTACAAATATTTGCTTAGCACTTTTTAGATATAATGACAATGATAATGAAAGCTCACATTCACACAGTGCTTACTATGTGTGTGCCAGGCATTTATTGAATCTTCGAGATGATCCTGTGAGATAGGTACTCCTGTTATCTCCAAGCTAAAGATGAGGAAACAGGAGATTAGGACATATTAAGAAACTCGACCAAGGTCATACAGCTGATGCCTGGTGGAACCAGGATTCAAACCGAATAATGGACCTCCAGTGTCTATGTGTTATAACAACCACCCTCTACTGTCATCTCATTAGCTTTGCTTGTGCATCTAAATTACAGACACAGAGATTCAATTTCTTGCTAGATATCTCTGTTTGGATGGCCCACAGAAACCTAAAACTCAAAGTACTTTAAAATGAGCTCATCCCTGTCTCCACAAGCCCTCTTCTTTCTCGCAAACCTCAGTGAAGTATATTACCATCCATCCAATTACCCAGGCTAGAAACCTTGATGTGATCCCTGACTTTGTCCCAGCAACTTCCATCCTCAGCCACCGTGCAATCATTTAAAATATTGTCTTTTACCTATTTACTATCTTTTGAATTTATTCACTTCCCTATGCCCACTTTTCAAGCTTCATTCCAACTCTCACCCTGTGTTAACTGACTTTACTGCAATAGCCTCCATCTGGTCTCTGCCAATAGTAGGATCTGCACCTGTGCTGAAAAATCCACTATGGCCATGACCAGAAGCAGTAGGAAGAGAGCTATAATTGATTGGTAATGTCTGTCATGGGAACAATTGCTGGCATTGGTACCAGGATGTGCCAGCCTTGCCCTAGCATCTTAACACAATATCTCATACATGGAGGGCACATAATAAATGATGTTAAATGGATTAAAATATTAATATTAATGTCTTTTTATCTCTCTGATCCTAAGCACAATGTTCTGTACTATATATAGTCAACAGTTTTGTGTGGGGCCATTCTTGACAATGATAATGAATAATTTTTACCAACTCAATCAAATTTAAAATTTTTGAAAGCCCATTCTTATTTCTTGCTATGCTCTGTTAATTTATATCAAGTCTCTAAAGTTTCTTCCTCCTCTCTGCTTATCATCATCCCCCACGTCCCCATGCACCACCTTCTGTCTTCTCCAGGTTTTGGGAGCCAGATCACGTGAAATTTTGACAATCTACCCATGGGAAATTCTATATATCTATTTTATTATATGCCCTCAATAATAAAAATGTTCCACTTCTCATGTGAACATACGACATACAGGAAGAACCAGTGATGTGCGGAAATCCCAGTCTCTTAGTCCTTTATAGGTTTAGATATGACTGTTATACTATAGATCTTCACCTTGATTTGGAGACATATGTCTTTCTGGCACCATATCCTATCCACTAAACTCTTGAAATTATGTTCTGACCTTATTATAGGGTTTTCTTCTTCTTTGACTATCAGTCTACTCCCTAAACATGTCAGATATTTCCCATGCATATGATGAATATTTTATATTTGGCTGACTGCTTTATTTTTACCTCTCAGGCAAAGCAAGCTTTTACATGTTAAATTATTTGGTAGATATAAAAAGGATGTTATTTTTATTCCATGTCCTTGTTCTTGATACTCACCATCAACACGCATAGTCACTAATTCTCATTTAATTTATAAAGGTTATAAAGGTTACAATGGTTTGTTGAGCTGCCTCCCAAAAGATTCAAGGTACTTACTAATAGTAAAGCAGAACTGCTGAACCATAGCATCTATTGGTCCATAAAACTAAAGACATTTTAGCATTTGCAGGACTCCAGTCTGCTGCAATTAATTCTGATGAGATATCCACAGTCCAGAGTTATTATCAGCTGGAGAGTGTCAGAAAGCTACTGGCCATTTTGAAGGTGAATCTTTACAAATGCATTTTGTTGTTGCCAAATAATTAGGAGTTAACATTCAAGTTTATATAAGTAATTGCGAATGGATAAAAAAAGTAATTTAGCAATTAGTCCATTTTTTGCCATTCTGAATTTTCTTTTGCAATGGAAACCCAACCTGCCTACATAACTCACACGTGTCAAACAACATAAGTGTTCTGAAGTTATGACTAACTCAGTTGACAGAAAGGGAGCCCTTCAGATATCAGGGAAAAGAGGTGGCATGACCAAAGAATTAAATGCACTGTAGTCCCAGCTACTTGGGAGGCTGAGGCAGGAGAATGGCGTGAACCCGGGAGGTGGAGCTTGCAGTGAGCCGAGATCGCGCCACTGCACTCCAGGCTGGGTGACAGAGCAAGACTCCGTCTCAACAACAACAACAAAAAAATTAAATGCATCCACATCTCTCTCTAGCAGGGACACTTGGATCATCATTAGCATCTGAAATGAGGTGTTGGGTCCTAGATTTCATACAGGGTCTTCTCTCTGAAGTTCCTGGGTGCTGGAGGAGCCCAGAGATACCAGGGAAATAAAGTCCGAGGACCACCTGCTAAAAATCAGACACAAGTTTAGAGTGGGGCCATGCAGTGTCAGACAGGTAAGGGACAAGTTTGGAAGCCGCTGGATGTTGTCAGGCCAGTGGATATGATGATATTTAGGAATTCTCATAACGTTTCATTGGTCAGTTATGAGGTAGGTGGGGGCAGAGTCAGGTACACAGAATTCACAAAATACCATGAGGAAACATGGAACTTACTATATGCAAGGAAGCTTAGTAGTTTAAGTGGAACATATAAAGGTGATTATGATACCATCCTGTCCTGAAGATGCTTCCAGACATAGTCAGGAAGACAGTGGTAAACAGAGCAGCTACAGAAGGGCCGCACAGGCACCAGGAAGCCCTTAGCACAAGGAGGAGCATGGTATCAGAGCCTCACCCTCCCGGATTCTGTTCCATTCAGTTCTGAGTCTGGCAGCAACTCTATGTGACCTCCAGCCAGAAAACAACACAATACCTGAGGCTAATTTCATGAGGTTAAGATTAAATGAAGTGAGGGAAGAGATTTTTTTTAATATTTTTTATATATATAAATACAAATACATAACACATTTATATAATTAATAACTATGATAACATAAACACTAGGGCAGTAGGCAGTGAGTGAGCACTCAATGATAGGTATCTAGAATAGCAGCAGCAGTCACTGTAAAAAGACTGACTTCTGATGAAGCAGAGATATAAACCAAGCACCACTTCAGCATACGAGCAGAAGAAATCTACTTAAACTAGGGTTTGTATCATGATATTTCACAATACCTAGTCTTTCCTGTCTCCATGAATGCCAATTCTATTTGCACAGGCCAAAAGCCTTTGACTCTTCTTTCTCTCACACCACATGCCCTAACTATCCGCAAATCCTGTTGGCTCTATCTTCAAATATTTTTAGAATTCACTCACTGCTCACTCCCTCCCCTACTACCACTTTCTTCAAACACTATCATCTTTGGTCTGGATTCTTCAGTGGCATCTCTGCTTCTGATCTCCCTGCCCTTTTCACCTATAACCTTCCCTCCATGCAGCAGGGACAACTATCCTTTTAAAATGTTGGATCATATCACCCAATCCTGGTCATCCCCTTCCAAAGGTGACCTCGTGTTACTCAGAGAAAAACTCCAGGTCCTTATGATGCTTGCCCGGCCCTCCAGATTTGACCTCTGTCTCTGCCTGTCCTCATGTTCTGCCACCCTGCCCCTTTCTAAGCCTGCTCCTGCCACACAGATCTTGCCGTTCCTCAATGACATCAAGCGTGCTCCTGCCTCGGGCCATTGCCTTTGCTGCTTGTGTTTGTTTGGGCTCTCCAAGAAGCAAATGCTAAGATGGAATTAGATGTGCGTGAAATGTATGGAGGGGAAGTGCAGGTGAACGATAAAAGGGAGGGAGGGGGAGAAGGTAGGAGGAGCCTTTGACAGCAATGCCAACCTGACATCTGTGAGGAAGAGGATATGGAAGACAGATTGTGCAAGAAGGGTTCAGACTGCAGTGCAGTCCTAAGGAAGTTTCCAGAAGGCCAGATGGGTGTCTATCCCTGCCTCACAAGAGTGGCCTGAATTAGGATCTCACTGTGCTCCCACAATGGGTTAGAGTGGCTCAGTGGAAATGTGGCTTCCACATGAATGTGACAGTGGACCCAGAGGGAAGCAGCTAGGATGTGGCCAACAACCAACACCGCTCCTCTCAGCAGAAGATCCATGTCAATCACGCTGTTTCCTCTCACTGGAATGCCTTTTACCTGATGTCAGCGTGGCTAGTCTCCCCCTTCCTTTAGGTCTGTGTTCAAATGTCACCTTGTCAGTGAGATCACTCTGACCACTCAAAGAAAATAGTGTCCTCCACTCTGGCATTCCCTACCCACCTTACCCTGGTTTATTTTTCTTTATAGTATTTTTCTCCATCTAATATATTATACAATAGCTTGTTTGTTATGTCTCCTCCCACTGGAATATAAGCTTCATGAGGGCAGGAATCTGTCTAGTTTGTTAACTGCCTTACTCCCAGTGTTTAGAATAATATGTGGCACATAGCACATACTCAATACATAGGAATTGTGAATAAGTGAACTTTAGAAGACACAGGTTAATTTCATCATTGCACATGCAGTTAACTTCCCTGCTGACTGTGGAACCTGACCTCACCACAAAATCTTAATCTCCCCAAAACAACAAACAAATCTATTAACATGTTTTCCAATTATTCAGGCTTAATACTAAAACATAATGAAATAAACCATGTAGTCAAGCAGAACCCTTTAAAATTCTCCATCCATCCTTATTTACTACATGAAATTTGCAAACTATCTTTAAGGACCTAGGCATCTTTACACAGAATCTTATCTTACTCTTTGCTTGATGTGTTTTAGTGGTTCTCAAGGTGTAGTGTGCGAAAACAATTTTTAGGGTTGTGTATGTAAGCTATGGGTCTTGTACTTATGGGATATACAATTAATTTCTTAAGGTGATTTTGACATTGCTCTCAGTAGAGCAGGTTCCCCAGGAGTGGATACTGACATGAGGATTCATGTGAAAATGATGTATCATAAACTGTTCCCTGGAAAAACTGACTGGGTCACGGGGAAATGTGGCCGAGCAAAAAGATGACATACCAAGCAAGCTCCCATGGAAGGTAACTTTGGCCTAATTCTGCAGGGGAGGTCAAGAAACAGAAGAGGTCACTCCTCAGAGTTGTCCTTGGAGTACTTATATTCTTGATCCATTCAGCCATTGATGAGAGGCTGACACTCAAAGGATGTAAATTCCCAGGTACTTTAACTCTCAGTGCATGCCAGCAAAGTAGGCGGCCCTCCAGCAAGAGATCCTGGTGCTAGCTGTTGGAATTGAAAGTGCAGTGAAAGCCTGAGGGCACGAAAATAGTAAAGGGATTGGAGATAATGTAGTAAAGGGATGAAGGGCATATGGGTGAAGCACTGATAATGCCTGCTGCACCTGCTGACTACATGTATGCCTCAATGGGCACAGTTCCAGAAGGGGAATATATATATATATTTGCAAACTATCTTTAAGGACCTAGGCATCTTTACACAGAATCTTATCTTACTCTTTGCTTGATGTGTTTTAGTGGTTCTCAAAGTGTAGTGTGCAAAAACAATTTTTTAGGGTTGTGTATATAATCTATGGGTCTTGTACTTATGGGATATACAATTAATTTCTTAAGGTGATTTTGACAAAAAAAATTATTTTTGCACACTACACTTTGAGAACCACTAAAACACATCAAGCAAAGAGTAAGATAAGATTCTGTGTAAAGATGCCTAGGTCCTTAAAGATAGTTTGCAAATTTCATGTAGCAAATAAGGATGGATGGAGAATTTTAAAGGGTTCTGCTTGACTACATGGTTTATTTCATTATGTTTTAGTATTAAGCCTGAATAATTGGAAAACATGTTCATAGATTTGTTTGTTATTTTGGGGAGATTAAGTAAGATTTTGTGGTGAGGTCAGGTTCCACAGTCAGCAGGGAAGTTAACTGCAGTTATATATATATGGGGAAAAAAAAAATACACACACACACACACACACACACACACACACACAGCAAAACTAATCAGAATTAAACTTGTAATACATTTTTCAGTTTTCTGATTTCCGTTATTATCCATGAGTGTGTATTTATGTGAGCAGTGGAATCTCTTTAAATCACTTGGTATAGCGATCCAAACATTGTGCTTGGGATCACATCTAATGCCTTTTTGAGTAGGGTTGTGTTACCACACATTTATATGAAGAAACCACACTAATGCGGTATGTATGCTTCCCTTTCCCCACTCAGTTGTTAACATGAAATATTACATCTTCTTATCATAACATGCTAATCTTAAGATCTCAGGTAATTGCTTGAGGCTACTAAACCTGAACAACTGCTCCGCTCTGAGCCAGATGGAAAGGTCAAACATCTTCACTAGTTTGCATCAAATTTTGATCCCATTTTCCGCACTTGGAATTCCATTCACAACTGTTTATGGGAAATGAAAGAATATAGTGATGCTGCACATTGTAGACCATGAAACAAGCATTGCTGCTAGCGGCAGAAGACCAGCATTCAGTAAGCAACCTCAAGCATGATAATTCCCAAAAGCTTCAGTATTTTGGGGGGTTAACAGAACGAACTAGATTCTCTCCAAATTTCTTTTTTGTGATAAAAGTACATTGTTCAATAATTCTGTAAGAAATGCCCCAATTCACTGCTCAATACTTCTGCAGGAGGTTCCCCCACTATAGTATCTATTTGGGGAAGCTTCTGTGGCCTTCTCAAGACCAGTGACAATTTTGCCACTGCCTAAACTGACAGAACATCACAGACAGGTGAAAAATACTAGTTGTTGAGTGCCAGGTGCTGTGTTAAGTATATATAGTAGCTCATTTAATGTTCACAATAACATTATAAGGAGGTATTATTATACACTTTTTATAAACAATGAACCCGGGGCCCAGAGACATGAAATAACTTGCACCGAGTCACATAGCTAGTAAATATGGAGTCAGTATTCAAACCCAGGGAGGTCTGATTCTTTGCACTCTGCTAATGTAATGGGAAGAATTTCTAGAGCAGGAGTCATTTCCAGGAAGCAACACAGAGCCCTGGTCAGGAAATGTTCTTGTCCCCAGAAAAGACAGAATTGATAAACTGTGCCTGGCTGGGTTTCAGAATTGCTGTGGACAACTGATTGCCATGTACTCTTTCCCCTCCTTTGGGATGGCATTGTCTACTGTGGTTGTACAATACCTTTTTTACCACTGAATATTGGATGTGTGGAGATATTATATAAATAGTTTGTTTCTGTAGTTCACAGGTCTTCAGAACAAAAAAAAATTGTATGCAAGGAGCTGTACTCAAAGATTCACATGTGAGGAGACACATCCATACCTGGATCTGATTTTGACAGGGAGAATCTTGACAGCCATCGTTGTAATAAGATGCGATTTGTGAGGGAGATTCCTTACAGAACAGTGAGTGTATTTTCCATGTGGAACATGGGTAAATAACTTGTGGCCAGAGGGCAGACTGTGGTAGATTAAAGATTGCCATAATATTTTTGCTACTACTCTCATTTAGGAATAATGCTCAAGTCCTTGATTTTGAGATGGCTTTAGTGGCTTGCTTGACTAATTAAATCCAACAAATATGACATTATGGGTCTTCCAAGTATAGGTCATAAGAAGCTTTGCAGCTTCCACCTCTTGAAGTATTTGCTCAGGGTAAAGCCAGCCACCAAATATGAAATCTAATTGCTCTGAGACTGCCTTGCTGCTCAAGCTGGACATATGAAAAAACTATGAGGAGAAAAAGAAAGAGATAGGTACCTGGTCAGCCCCAGATCTTCTACCAAGCCCAGCCCAGGCACCAGAAGTGAGGCTGAAGAAGCCATCTTGAACATTCAAGCTCCACCAGACACAAGGTGTAAAAGCAAGGAACTCATCTACAGCCAGAACCAAAGTCCTGGGCACAAGACCCCAGTGGAGCTCTCAGCCATCTCTTGCCATTGAGTATCCCTGCTGAGACCCCAGTGATCAAGGAGCTCTCACTATGTCCAGTCTGAATTCCTGATCCACAAAATCATGGGCATAATAAGATGGTTGTTTTCTGTGACTAAAATTTGGGGTGGTTTGTTAGACAGCAACTGATAGCCGGAACACACTGTTCTAGGGACTCCTAAAGGAAAGTGACTGAGTTGCTCAATCATTTACTAGCTGTTTGCAATGGTCATTTTAATAAAATTAGTAGTATTATATATATGATATATATATCATATATATATCATATATATATTATATATGTAAAGACTGGGTCTCACTCTCTTGCCTAGGCTGGAGTGGAGTGGCATATTATAGCTCACTGCAGCCTTGACCTCCTGGGCTCAAGCAATCCTCTCACATCAGCCTCCTGAGTAGCTGGGACTCTAGGTGCATGCCACCACCTAGCTAATTTTTTAACTTTTCTTAGAGACAAGTTCCCACTATTTTGCCCAAGCTAGTCTCCAACTCATGAGCTCAAGTGATCCTCCTGCCTCAGCCCCCCAGGTGCCAGGATTAGAGGAATGAGCCCCCACACCCAGCCTATTATTAATCTTAACATTAAAGTTATGCATGTTTATTAGAAAATATATAAAATTTTTAAAAAACAAAATTACCTACAATTGCACCACCCAGAAATACATTTACATATTTAAAGTGTCTGTATGCATATAGGCTGATCCTATATATAACCATTATCTATTCATGCATAAAAGCATACCCAAATTAAAGCTTTAAACTGATTTTCTCATTGCTCACAAGTCTGTGGATTAACTGGGTGATTCTGCAAGCAGCTGGTGGGTCAACTGGAGCTAGCAGTCCCAGGCAGTCTCACTCACACGAATGGGCTGTGGGCAGGCTGACTGGTTTGTGGAGCCTAAGCTGGGATGTCTCTGCTCCATGTGGTCCCTCACCCTCAAGGAGGCTAGCCCAGGCCTCTTTACATGGAGGTCTCAGGACAGCAAGAGCATGAGAAGATTAACTGCAAGACCTCCTGAAGCCTAGACTGGGAAATTCCTATGTCACCACTTCTGCCCCACTCTGCTGGTCCGAAAAGCCTCAAGGCCAGTCAGATGCAAGTGAATAGGGAGAATGACTCCAACTCTTGACAGGAAGGGCAGCCAGTTCACATTGCAAAAGTAGATGTATACAGGAATGAAAGGAATCTGTGGCTATATTTTTTTCTTTTTGCAATCTACAACACTGTACTTGAAAAAAAAAATTTTAAAAAAAAGCTTTTAGGCTTGAACAATATAATGAAAACCCTTTGAGTAAGTAAACTCTGCCCATTATCCTGTTAGGAAGACTCTGTACCATGTCTCAGATAGATGAGTTCTTGTCTCAAAATTGGGAACAGAGTCCCTTTTGTCTAAGGAAAAATCTCCTTGAAGCTCCTAGAGCCAATTTTTGAAATGAAGAGAAAAATTAATTTAATTTCCATTTTTCCTGCCCCAAACTGGTGGTTATTTATCTGGCCTGTTGAGTTACTACTGCATCACATAGAGGCATGAGGTCCCCCCACTAGAGTTTCCCCATCCTCTGAACTGGATAACTGAGAGATGTAATGATAGTGACAGGGTCACTGAGCCTAAAGATGACTTTTCTTGCCATATTCTGATTGAGCGTTTATCTCAAAGACTTGTAAATACCTTAAACTGCAGTACAATAGTCACCAAGATTTATTTCTAAGAGAAATGAATACCTCTGTCCTGCTTTGGGCAAAAACATCTCATGAGCTGAGGTTATACACCCTGAATAAATTAAATTCCAGAGATATATAAAGGTTAAATGAAAAATCAAAGTAAGTAGGTGATCCAGGTAAGTGGGCCACTTTGGCAAACGTGTGGGAAGTGAGGGTGAGAGCTGTATCCCTGTCTTCAGCCATAAAGTGGGCGCCTGTTCTCCATGGACAGAGCCATTAATCAAATAGGTTATTTATAGAATATCCTAGAAAAAAAAGCTTCCCTCTGGGTTGCAATTGTCCTCACTTAGGTCAATGATACATGACAGGCTTATCATAAAGTCTCTTAAGGAAAAAATCTACAATGTTCTTTGTTTCTTGAAGCACAGAAACTTCAACCTGGCTAAGGTCTATACTCTATCAAAATTCTTTCAGCAAACTTCTTGATCAAAAGCTTATTTTGACAGTTTGCAGTGTGCCCATTTTAATGTGATGTAGGTAGTCTAATAGCTCTGGTATTAAATGGTAACCAAACCAGGATGGCTATTATCCAAAAAACAAATAAAAAATGTTGGTAAGAATGTGGAGAAAAGGGAATCCTCCAACTCTGCTGGTAAGAATGTAAATTGGTGTAGCCACTAAGGAAAACAGTATGAAGATTCCTCCAAAAACTAAAAGTAGAATTACCATATAACCCTGCACTCTCACTTCTGAAATACATCCAAAGCAACTGAAATCAGTACGTTAAACAGATATCCGCACACCCATGTTCACTGCAGCATTATTAAAGTAGCCAAGACACATAAACAACCTAAATGTCCATTGATGAATGGATACAGAAAATGTGGTATATACATACAATGACTATTATTCAGTTTTTTTAAAAGAAGGATATCCTGCCATTTGTGACAATAGCGGATGAACCTGGAGGACATCATGCTAAGTGAAATAAGCCAGACGCAGAAAGACATATACTGCATGATACCACTCATGCGATGAGTCAGTAATAGTCAAACTCACAGAAACAAAGAGTGGAATGGTGGGTGGTTTCCAGGGGCTGGTAGTGGAGAGCAGGGAATTTGTAGTCAAAGGGCACAGTGTTTCTGTTTTATGAGATGAGTAAGGTCTAGAGGTCTACAGCATAGTGCCTACAGTTAACAATACTCTGTTGTATTCTAAAAATGTTCTAAGAAAGTAAATATTATGTTAGGCATTTTTAACACACACATAAAAATAATAATAATACATAAGGAGCAGCTGGACATGGTGGCTCATGTCTGTATTCCCAGAACTTTGGGAGGCTGAGGTGGGAGGATCACTTGAGCCCAGGAGGTCAAGGCTGCAGTAATCTATGATTGCTCCATTGTACTCCAGCCTGGGTGGCAGAACAAGATCTAAATAAATAAATGAATAAATAAAAATAAATTAATAAGAAGGGTGGAAGGAAGGAAATTCTTGAAGGTGTTAGATACGTTTACGGCATAGATTGTGGTGATAGTTTCACACATGTATACAGTTATCCCTTGGTATCCATAAGAGATTGGTTCCAGGATCTCCCATGGATACCAAAATCCAAGTCCCTCATATAAAATGGCATAGTATTTGTATATAACCAATGCATATCCTCTCATGTACTTTAAATCATCTCTGCATTACTTACAATACCTAATACGCCACAATGCTAGGTAAACGGTGGTCATACTGTATTGTTCAGGAAATACTGAGAAGAAAAAAACTGTACATGTTCAGTACAGATGGCTTTATTTCCCAAAATCTTTTTGATCAGCAGTTGGTTGAATCCTCAGATGTGGAACCCACAGACACAAAGGGCCAACTGCATTTATCTCCAGACTCATTCAGGCTGTATACATTACATGTGTATAGCTTTCTGTATGTCAATCATATCTTTAAAAAGTAGTTTAAATAAAATGACAATCAGAGAGAGGTAGTTGAAAACAGGAATGATAAGCGTGAGCCCTAGCAAGAACTGACTTGGTTTCACATTCTAGCTTCTGGCTTCGTGCCACTGTCTGTGTAGGCTTGAGTGTGTGCTAATTCACCTTTGGTTCTCCATCTGTGACATGGCAATAAGTCGGTTAGATAATTGATTAGATAATGCAAGCAAAGTGCTTAACACAGTGTCTGGCACATGGTGGGCCCTGAATAAATGTAAGCAATGTTTGTTATTAGAAAAGTAAGCACAATTTGGGGCCAAGGACCTCTTTGTCCCAGGGCTGACAGCGAGACCAAGAAGAGCACAGCAATAGACGTTTTCTACACTGAGAAATCCACTATGTGCCATACACACAGGACATGACATGACCTGCAGTGGAAACAGAGTCATGGGGACAGCCAGGTACATTATAACAAGTTTAACTAAGTTTGTGAAGTGCTAAGTCTCTGTAACTATAGAAATTAAATCATTCTCACTAGATATATATATAATAAAAATTGATAATAGAGAAATTGAACAAACCCTAATGCCATTTACTAAAATTCAGAAAAACAGGCCGGGTGTGGTGACTCATGCCTGTAATCCCAGCACTGTGGGAGGCCAAGGCAGGCAGATCACTTGAGGTCAGGAGTTTAAGACCAGCCTGGCCAACATGGTAAAACCCCATCTCTACTAAAAATACAAAAATTAGCTGGATGTGGTGGTGGGCACCTATAATCCCAGCTACTCAGGAGGCTGAGGCAGGAGAATCACTTGAATTCAGGAGGCAGAGGCTGCAGTGAGCCGAGATCACACCACTGCACTCCAGCCTGGGCACCACGGTGAGACTGTCTCAAAAATAAATAAATTAATAAAATAAAATAAAATTCAGAAAAACAAAGAAAACCTAGGCATTATGGCTCTGAGGAATCTAGCTAACACCAAAAGTTATTTTTTTCCCACTCCTCAAAATATTCACTTTCCCTCACAGGCAAGGAAACATTGTGCTGCTGCTCCTAACCAAACAGAAGCTCCAAGCACGAACTTCAACAGGTCAACTTCCCTCTCCCTCACCAATCAACCATGAAGAAAAGATCAATTTCACTAATCAAAGGACAATTAATGACTCGTGTTTATCTAGTGTATTAGTCCATTGTCATACTGCTATGAAGCAATACCCGAGACTAGATAATTTATAAAGAAAAAGAGGCTTAATGGACTTAGAGCTCCACCTGGCTGGGGATTTCTCACAATCATGGCAGAAGGTGAAGGAGGACCAAAGGCACATCTTACATGGTGGCAGGCAAGAGAGTGTGTGCAGGGGAACTGCCCTTTATAAAACCATCAAATCTGGTAAGACTTATTCACCATCACAAGAACAGCACAGAAAAACCCACCTCCATGATTCAATTACCTCCCACCAGCTCCCTCCCACAACATGTGGGGATTATAGGAGCTACAATTCAAGATGAGATTTGGATCAGGACACAGCCAAACTATATCACCTATACTCAAAATAATGTGTTGAAAAGTAAATATGTTGTTCTATGTAATTTTGTGGAGAGAAAACTGTTATTTTAGTGCATTCTAACTTACTTTTCCTCAGTTCATTCATAACATCTCATGAATATGTATATTTTAATCTGGGAGATTTATTTAGTTATTTATAACTATATCTCTCAGGTGTTATTTTCCCATGTTGCTCCTTCATTTTAAAACAAATGCATTTTTTGGGCCTGTATACACACTGGGGTTCCCAACTTGCATCCTATTATTGCAGCTATAATGTTTTTGGAGATTTGAACTTGTGTATGATATCATATCCAGCTTGGTTAAAGGATATAATTAAAAAAGGATTAAAATCATGAGTACAGCAGATTAAAGGTGAAAGAGGGGATTAAAAGCATGAGTATAGCATAAGGATATTCCTAGCTGGGAAGAGAATCCTGTAGTACGTGGAGCACAGAGCCGATGTCCAGTGTCTAATTTCCTCGCGCAGGGAAACTGCATAGAAGAAAATCAAGGCACCAAGAGTGAACTATCTTCTGCAGGCATTCATCAATGATGACATTTAGAGGAGTCCACTGAGAGACTCCAATGGGGGCCACCTAGGCTATCTCCTCACCAAACATTTAATGGATTTGTTTCCAGAGTGTATGTCTGTAGTTTTATAAAGTAAATCAATGGGGAAATGTGATTTACTTTATACAATGCACTTTACTGGCCATTCCCTGGAACGTACCTATTCCATAAATGTCAAGGATAGCTGCCCTGTATCTGATCCAAACTTTGAGAGAGATGTGGGTCAAACTCCATGAGCTACAATATGGTTGGAAGGTTTAACACTCCTAGAAAACAAGCTACAGCCTTAATGATGACAAATACTTCAGCTCATGTCTCATAAGTGCTGAGGCTGGCAATGCTGCCAGGCAGCAAGGCAACTCCCCTGGATGGGGTGCCGAAGCAAGACTCGTGGTACACACTTCCAGCAAACATTTCATCAGTGATGTCCAACCCACTCAGCAAACCATTTCTTTGCTCACTGATCTGTATCCTATTTGCCATGTAGACCCAGCAAAACAAACATTTTCAGTGACATGATTGCAAATGTTTCTGTCACGTAGGCCCATTCCAAACAATCCTGAGTTTGGATTTATTCTTGGCAAGCAGGAGACAGCTCCAGGAGCCTATGAGGATTTCTCTTAACCATCCACATCTCAGAGGGTATCTCTCCTGGGAGACCCATGAGATTTCTTCCACGGCAAAAACAGCAGCCTGGGAGCCTCCTGAGAACCGATGTCCCACCTAAAATATTCATGGCTCAGATTCCCACAGGCTGATAAAGCAGTGCCTCACCTAATGACATTTCCCCTAATACACCATCAAAAACATGGGGGTCCCAGGGATATGGTAAGAATGCTTTACTCTTTTGCAACATTATTAATCTTCAGTGTTTCGCTGCTACTGAATCATATCTTTTAATAAAAACATATGAAACCATGAAAAAATTATTCCAGCTCATTTTATGGACTGATCTGATTCTGCTACTCATAAATTATGGATGGTTACATCCTGTGGCATTTTAGTTCTGCTCACTTTATAATTTAGTCTGACATTTGGATAGCCCTGGCCTTCTGCACTAAAGTACTTTTGAATCACTTAATTATAACCATTATATCTTGGGGCAAAATGTGTACCTGTAATGACTTGCCACTATTAAGCAGCCAATTGACAACAGTAAAAGTAAGTTTTTTTATACAAAAGAAAGAAGAGTCACTCTATCTAAAAAGAATTGTCCAAAGTTAAAAACTTTGGGTGGCAAATTATAGAAACCTATTCAGACTGAAGCAAAATAAACAGAACTAACTTGGGGCATCCACTGCTGTCTCATTGAACCCAGAAGCAGCAAGTTCAGCCAAGCTTGGAGAACAGGAAGTTAGAATTTGCAAGCCAATGGGAACCAAAATAGCCAACCTCATCACCTCTCACTTTCTCTCTTTCCCTCCCTTGGATCATATGATTTCATGTTTCTGTATTCTTTATTTGCATTTGCTTTATCTTTTCTTTTGCCCATTGGTGTTTTCAGTTTCCCCACTACAGCATGAAAGTGGCTGCCCCAGCTTCACAGCTCGGGTACCTCCTAGCTCCAGAAAGACCACTGGTACCACACTCTGAGAGAGAATCTGATTGAGTCGGCTTGGTTTAGGTGTTCACTCCTGACCCAAGCAGCTATAGCTGCTTCACCAGTGAAACATACAAACCTTAAATCCAGTTAATCATTAACCCTTTGGTGATACCTTAAAGACAAATATCTATGTTTAAGGATAAAGTAGGAGACACAATACCTAATGAATGAAGTAGTAGAATCTTAAAGTTGGAAAGGACACTAGAAGTCATCCAGTGGATTTTTCCACCAATGTAGAAATTCCCCATCAGCTCAGCTTTCCTGATGGAAAGCCACAGAAGCATTCTCAGCTTGAATATGTTCTATAACTGGGTGCTTACTTTTTGGCAGAGGTCCATTCTACTGGTGGGCAGATTTCACCTTCAGGCAGGTCTTACTTGTATTGTACAGAAACTGTCTCCCTCCACTGTCCATTCAAACACTTGGGGCTGTTCTCTGGGGTTCACAGGAATCCAATTCTAACTTCTAGATGGTAAATATTTGAAGACGGCTGTCTCATCATATGTCCTCTACTCCAATCTTGACATTTTCATGTCCCCCGGACATCCCTTTAGATGACATCATCCTGATGATCCTTTTCTATTTGCTCTCTGGTTTGTCAGGGTTCCTCAATACTTGGATATGACAGTTTAAAATTTGTAGAATATCCACAGGGATGTTGACTGAGACTCTTATTAATTCTCACCTGGATGCAATATTTCTATTGACATGGCCAAAAACTGTGTTAGCTTTTTGAGCAATGCACTATGGGGTAGCATTAAACAGGCCAAACTGCCTGGGCTCATAGGCTGCCTCCTCCATTTACCAGCTGTGTGACTTTGGGGAAAAAAAGTCTCTCTACAACTCAATTTTCTTACCTGTAAAGGGAGACTATGTCCAGTGCCTACTCCAGATAGTTGCTGTGCAAATTATATAACTCATGTAAAGAGCTTAAAATAGTACCTGGCACATGGTAAGTGCTCAATCAGTGTTAGGCATTAGTTTGGAATGAACTGACTACCATTGTCTTTTATGTGACTTTCTAAAGTGGTTACATTTTATCTTGAAGGACTTAATCTGTTAGTTCAGCCTACAGATATCATTATATGTCCTGATTACCTCACTCAACAAATTAGTTATCCTTCCCAGGAGTGTGTCAGAAATTTGTTGATTATGACCTACATGTCTTTAAGATAATGAAAACATTGAATAAGATAGAACCAAGGAGAGAATTTGCAGCACGCTGATGAAGCCCATTCACAGAGTATCTTTAATTATAAAATGCTTTCCCATCATCTCATTCAAGTTACGAATCATTAGCCCTGTTTTTTAGATGAGGATATTAGGACCCCAAACTGTGAAGCTGCTTGTTTGAGAACACAAAAGTAGTGAGTGAGTAAGCCTAAACTGAAACCTAACTCTCCTTTTTACCTTACTGTCCTTTGGCTACTCTTGGTGAAACCGCTAAAAATTCTTATCAACTTTATCTCCCGCATTTTGTAAAATCTTCTTACAGGGAATAAAGGATACTGAGTTGAGAATGTTGAGATGGGAATGATAAAGATCTGCATCGAAATCTCAGTTCTGCCACTGAGTCACCAAGACAACTCTGAACATGTTAATTTATCTCAACCTCAGTTTTCTCATCTGTAAAATGGATATGATGACAGTGCCTAGCTCATAGGTTTACTGTGAAGGTGAAATGAAGTAATCACATGGACTGATTGATCATCATAGTACTTGTGCACTCATTACACAGTAATTGTGATCATCCTCGTTTTTATTATTATTCACAAGAGGCTGTCAAGTAGCCCACTAAAGGCAAGAAGCATTACTTCTTTGGGCATTATTCTGACTAAATTACTTGCATTAAATAAACAACAAGCAAATAAAATGTGAAAATCAACCCTTAGGGAGAGCCAGCTTTTTGGACCATACTGTCCAAAGTTAATCACTGAATATGTTCAATATCAATATGAAAGAGGAAAATGCACACTTTAACAATATACAATTTTTCATCTTTTAGAATGAAAAAATTAAAGTGATCATAATATCCAATTTTGTAGAACAAAAAAAGAAAAAAATACCAAAAAAAAGAAATTTGGTTATATTAGCAAATTCTCTTAAAAAGATCATTAATATCCAATTTCGTAGAGCAAAATAAAAAGAAAAGAATACCAAAGTTGTACTACTGAATTCTCCTAAAGTTAGAATAGTGTCCGTTTTTAAAGATAGAAGCTTGTTGCAATTTGCAAATAATTTTATTACCTTTCCCCACACTACTTCTACGATCAAATTTTCAAAAATAATAATGTCTACTCACCATTATTATTGTTATTATTATTATTACTGCTGCCATGGGCTAAAGTGTGACACTGCGGGATGGTTTTAAGGAACAGTATGATAACCAGGCTGGAGCATCATTTTGGACACAAAGCTGGACTCTAGCTTTAGCCATTCCACACATGTGTGTCACTGGCCATTCATTGTAAGAGCAACTCGTTAAAGAGTGTGTGGATATTGGCAGTAACCATTCCTACTACTGGAAATACAAGCCCAAAGCCATGTTCTACCAACTGTGGGCCTCTGACACCACTGGACACCCAACAACTGCACATGACAAAAGACCCACCGCTGCTGTCTGGGTCTCAAGTAATGGAAAACACTTTATTAATAGAAACTGCTCACCTAGATACACCGCAAAAACCAAGGAGCTCCTATTCATCTCCCCAGTATTTACTAAATAGATTGTGTGTGAGAAAAGGAGCAGGCCCTGAGTAACATGTTAAGGAGAAAATTAGAAGAAAATGAAATAATAAAAACTACTTTTATTTGCCTATGTGCTCTTATTTCTGCCTTATGTCTGAAAAGTGAATATCGCTTGACAGAAATAAAATTGTAATAGCATGAATATAAATTTAATATAAGGTTCAAATGCAATTTTAATATTTATTTTGTGGAGATAAACAGTAGCAGCACATATCTGGATAGAAAATGTATTATAAATCAAGCCAAGGACTCACAAACGAATCCCATTTTAAATATATTTATTCAGTGTGGCAGAGAGAATGAGGCAGTGTCAACAATTTGGCACTGAGGGCTTCCCTTGCAGGAGTAGAAAGGAGTCCTTCAACACATCATTATTTTACTCCCATGTACAGCCTGTGCTTTGTGGGGGAATCCTCTGGCAGAGGCAGCTGAGTCTAGCGGCTTCTACTCTGCTGGGGGCTGGAGACAGAGGAATAATGCGAAGGAGGGAGTATTTTATAATCTAAGGGCCTTTTTCCAGGTGGCTGCTCTGAAGACAGAGTTGAAAACCAGCTGGCCACCGAGAAGAGAGGGACGTAGGAGACCCCAGGCATGAAGATGACCAATACCTAAAGTGGCCATCAGGTGGACACAGCAAAGGACCAGTTCCAGGGAAGGCCAATTATACCAACATCCTCAGGTCACAAGCGGGATAAAAACTTAGCATTGCAAATAAAAAGGCAAGATGAGAAAGGGAGGATTCAGCCCCTGGCCGTCTGCTATGATTTCCTCAGATTCGGTTGGCTTGTACCAGAGCCTTTTCCAACAAGGAGGATCCACCTCTGTGAGAGAGTCTTTGCAAGACTTGAAATTGTCATTCTCTGTCTTAGCTTCATGACTCCTACCTCCCTAGGAAATGATTTTCTATATGGTGCGCATTTTCTTTATTTCTCTTTTTGTTAATTTCCCCAACTAGGTTCCCCAAAAAATGTCTGTTTTCTTTACTATTGTATCTCTAGGCTCTACAAGAGTGCCTGGCACCCAGCAAGTATGTGTTCATTAAATATTTGTCAAAGGAATGAGTGAATTCTCTATCTAGAGTACCTATAAAGTAACACCGTAAGCCAGGGATGACATATTTGCTTCATTTTGTATGTCAGGTTTGATCAGTCAGCAGCAGCTTCTAGGAGAAGGTGAATCTCTGCTCAGTGGAAAAGCATGCTGCAATCCCAAATTCCTGGCAGGTGTGGCTCTGGGGACAAGAACGGGACAGCATTCCCCCACGACTCCTATCTTCTACCCCTGTTTTTGCCTCTGCAGTCAGTGCAATCCTGGTAGCACATTGCCCTGAAATCTCTGGGGGTGGGGCCAGACATCTGCAGTTTTTAAAGCTCCCTGGGTGATTCTCACATGCAGCCAGGGTTGAGAACCACTGAACTACCAGCTACTTGGGAATTTATTTAGCTAAACCCAGCAACAATCTCTGTTGGAGATGGGAGGAGGAATGAGTTAAAGGGGAGAAAGTTAAGTTGGCCTAGACCAGAACCCTTCCCAGAGACACAGACCAGTCCACCGGGCCACAAAAGGGGGTTCTCTGTGTGTCAGCAGTCATTGAATTCATGGTTCGGCCAGTGTGTACAGCCCATGCAACCTCCATTCTCCACAGCAATAGCTCCTGCAGTAATGACAAAGCCTCGGATTTCTTACTACTAACTGGGAGTAAGAAAACAGCATTTATCTGAAATTCTTGACTTGTGGTAAACCAGATGTAAACATCAAGAAGAATTAATCTCATGTGTGTAGTGAAAATTTTTGCTCAAACCCACAGAATGTCCAAGAAAAGTAAATAATGAGTGTCTAATTTTCCTCTGTATAATTTGGCTAATTATACAACTCTCAGATTATAACAGTGCTTGGGTAAACATAGTGATATCGTATTTGAAACAGATTCCCTTAGTTTCATTAACCAATTACTTTTCTAATTCTTCAGGTATCATTAAAGCCATCCTAATTTAAGAATAAGCAGATGTGTATCATAACAGAGATCCAAATTTAACCCCAGATACCTAATAAATGTATAAAAGGGAAAAAATTATCTATTCCTAATATGCTATTTAATTACAAGGTTTGGGGAAGAAATAATACATGCTAATAATGAAATTAAAGGCTTTAAGATCTAATTTGATTACATTCTCTGAACATTGGTTATAGCTTGGCTTGCAGCTAAATTTATCATGATGACTTTCCCATTCACATGGGGCTAAAAGCAATTTTCAAGCAAGCAAAAGGCTAGAGTCATGGTGGATTGTTAGTGTTGGATAACTTTTATCAAACAGTACTTCATGTTCTGAATCTATTAGTTGGTAACAAGCATATACAAAACTAACATGAGCCCATAAATAGTGCCATTAGTTGCTTGTATATAAGAATAAAGGTGTCTAATGGACCAATATCACACACTTTCCCACAGCAGCAGGGCTTATTTTACGATGGGTTATTATGCTAATAGATTGTAAAATAGTATACAAGAACGCGGCTTTAATGTATTTACCCCTGTAGACAAGGAGGGGGAAAATGCTTTGCAAGCAATTATCATGAATTATTACACTATCTAAAAAACAATTACTATAGACTCATGTGTTTCAGTTTTCCAAGTTTATTACCGTTAGCATGCACACAGTGAAAGTAATTGAGCAAGCCACTCAAATCTGCACTTACAACACCCTGAGTAAGGTGATAAGAGTACCTATGCATCCATTCCCTCCTTCTGCCCCTCATCGATCCCCCACTCCAGAAAGGACTTTCCTTCTTGAATGCATCAAGTACTTTTAAGAAATTGAACAATGGATGTAATTTAGAATACAATTAGGTGAGCCACTTTTCCTTTTTTACCTCCAATTATCCACAGCAACATGCACACAGCCACCACTGTCTCCTTCCCTCAGTGCCAGCTGTTGCTCTTGAGCATCAGATCAGGGCGATGTAACTCAGCCAGAGAAGCCCAGTCAGAGAGGTCTCCAGAGGAATGTGGCTAAACTGAAGCTCTTCTCCTCCTCCTGCCTTACTGATAACATCTGTTAGGCCTGTTCCCTAGGGCCTTATGCATCTTCATTGAAAACCCTCCACAGATTTGGAGTTCACAATCTAGTCCAGCCAACTCTCTTCCCTGGCACATCTCAAAAGTGTATGCTCAATGAGAGGGAGTTGGCTGTGTGAAGTCAGGTTAAATAAACAGAATCTTTTCAAAAGATCAGTGTGACCATGGTTCCCTCCTCCACCCTTTTTAAAACTCCCTCATTAGCAGGGTGGTCTGCAAACCCTGCACGTTTAGATCTCTGCCGACCCCTGGCTTTTTCTGACACCAAGTTCCTTGATCTCTTTCACCACAGGGCCTTTGCACATGCTCTTTCTGCTGCTCAGAAAGCCCTTCATTTAGCCCCTGCAACTAGTTAACATCTAACCAGACTTCATATTTCAACTCATTTCCCTTCTGACCTCCCTAATTAGTTTCCTCACTCTCCCCTCACTGCCCCACCCATGATATTCTCTCAGGATACTATGGTCCTCCCCTTCAAAGCCCTAACCACATTTGCAAATTCGACTTTTATTTGTGTGATTATTGGTCTTCCCTAGCAAATCATAATCTTCATGAAGGCAGGAATTCATTTGTTTTACTCACCATTTTATCCCTATGACTAGCACAATGACTGGCACACAGTAGGTGCTCAATGAATATTTCTGAATGCATGAACTTATAAGCCATGTCAGAAAAGTAAAAATAAACATCATGCATAAGAGAAGAGTGCAGGAATTGAAAGATCAAAATAGAGTTAGTATATTGGGGCCTGGTTAGAGACCGAATGATGTAGATAGGAAAGAACAAATGGTATTCATTAAAAATATGGGCTAAATTATAACTATTTCAAAAAACGATCAACAAGGATGAAAGAGTATGAAGGATTTTGAGGACAGATTGCCTAGAAACCAGGTGGAAAATGAGTTTTAAATCATGAGAGGAGTGGGGGTAGTACCTGTGTGTCTGATATAGAAGGAACCAAGAAGAATGGCTTAGGAAAGAGCAGAGAATTTGTCTAAAAGGGAGAGAGAGAAAGGCCAACTTGACTGCAGTTTTTGACAGAATATTGGGGATAGAACCAGACTGCAAGGACTTTGGAGGAAATAAGAGGTAGGAAAATGAAAGCATCTGGATACATACGGAGAGATGGGAATCAGCCAATATTTACCAGGTGCATAGTGTTAAGTGAAAGAGTGTTTCAAGATGGAAGAGGTGGATCTATGAAGAGGCTGTTTGGCCACGCAGCAGATAGGGAGCAGCAAGGTCCCTCAGGAAACCACAGGATATAGACATCGATGGAAGGATTGGCTGTGAGAAGAAGCAGGCTGCCTCCCAGGAAAGCACTAGCAAGGAGAGGCAAGAGAAAGCAGGAGAGGCCAGAGGAAGCAATGGGCAGATCATGGCATAGACTTAGCCTTTTACAGGAAGAGACAAGGACTTCAGCTGGAAATCAAGTCTGGGGAGAGGAAAGGGATGGCAGGTTACCAAGAAAGGAAGCGTGAAGCATATGCTTTTCATGTTTTGTTCTGCAGAAGAAGACAGGAATCAACCCACCCAACGGAACTTGGAAGGTGAAGGCCTATTCTCGTCCATGCCAGAGACAAATAAGAACTTTTAGAAGTCATGTGTTGGAAGCACCAGTTGCTACAAAAGAGCCGAGTTCCCCTGGAAGGTCACTCTCGGCCATCTGTTAGTGGCAGGGCTGAGCATTAGTAACGTGGACAGCAACCCAGCTGCCTGAGGAGGCCCGGCCAGTGCTTCTCCACTGCCAGGATGTGTTAGCCGGGTAACCTCATTCTAATCAAATGATGGATGGCCAAGCTGTGAAGGAGAACTGCAGTGCCTCAGACCTGGAAGTCCTGGCCATCTGAACCTCACTTGGCACTGAGTGGGGCTGCACCATGCTCCTAGGTGGCATCAGGAAACATTAGGAAAGGAGGGCAGGCATTCCACACACAATGTGCAACTTGGCAGCCTTAAAAAGGAGGGTTTGGGTGAAGAAGAATTACAACAGACAGCCCCGGAGTTTTTTCCTAACCTACTTTTAATTGATGATTCCATTATATCCTTTCTAAAGGCATTTTTAAACTTAATAAATGACTGCTTACTATAGAGCACAATACAATCCCTTACAAGTTAAGCTGTTCTCGTGAATCACTTGTAATTACTGGGCATTTTCGAGCCCAAGGGATGTATAACTATATTATTGTATCCCTGTGATTTTTATGAAGTCAAGGCAAGGAAACAAATCATGGTGGCTGAATTAATCTCTTCACCAGAGCTCTTAATAATCAGCAGAAAACTTTAAAATAACATAAACCAAAAACCTATCACTATTAAATCATCAGGTATTTTACTAACTGCTACTTGGTTTGTTTACTCCCAAAAGGGAAAGGGTAAATAGAAGAAGGGGAAGGAGAAGAGGAAGGAAGGAAGGGGCTTAGGGAAAGAGAGAGGGAATGAGTGGACAGAGGGAGACAGAAAGGGTAGAAGAATAAGGGAAAAGGAAAGAAGGAAGGAAGGAAGGAGGGAAGGGAGGGAGGGGGATGGGGAGGGAAGGGGAAGGGAAAGGGGAGGGGAGGGAGGATATTCTATTCATTTCCAATTGCTACCGTAATAAATTACTACAAACTTAGTGGCTTAAAACAAAATGTATTCTTTTACAGTTTTGGAAGTAAGCAGCTTAAAATTTATTCCCTTACAGTTTTGGGGGTAAGAAACGTAAAATCAAGGTGCTGGGAGGGTTGCACTCCTTCTGGAAGTCTCAGGGGAGAATCTGTTTCCTTGTCTTTTGCAGCTTCTAGCAGCCACCTGCATTCCTTGGCTCCTGGCTCTTTCCTCCATCTTCAAAGCACATCACTCCAACCTCTGCTTCCTTCTTCTCATCTCCTTCTTCTACCTTTGGTTTTATTTCCCTCTTCTAAGAACCCTTCTGATTACACGGGGCCACTCAGATAATCTGCCCATTTCAAGATTAGCTGAATTACATCTGCAAAGTCCCTTTTGCCATATAAGGTGACATATGCACAGGTTCCAGGCCTTAGCATCTGAACATCTTTAAGGGCCATTATTCAGCCTCCCACAGACATTTAAAAAGGAAAAGAAGAGGGATTTCCAACTGAATGTGAAACATACACCATAGTAGAACCTCTAAGCCATTTTGATATCGAATGAACTTCAAGTTGTGCTGCAGGAATGGTCTTTTTTTTTTTTTTTTTTTTTTTTTTTGAGACGGAGTCTCACTCTGTCACCCAGGCTGGAGTGCAGTGGCACAATCTCGGCTCACGGCAACTTACACCCCCTGGGTTCAAGCAGTTCTCCTGCCTCAGTCTCCTGAGTAGCTGGGATTACAGGTACCTGCCACCACGCCTGGCTAATTTTTGTATTTTTAGTAGAGTTGGGGGTTTCACCATCTTGGCCAGGCTGGTCTTGAACTCTTGACCTCGTGATCCACCCACCTTGGCCTCCCAAAGTGCTAGGATTACAGGTGTGAGCCACCATGCCCAGCCCAGGAATGGCTTTTAAAAATTGTCCACTCCAAAAAAAAGCAGACTATGCCTTGGTGCCACTTTTATAATGTTTTCAAAACACATTCACACCTATTATCTGATTTTCTCCTCCAAAGATATCTTGTTAGAAAAAAAAGGCAACTTATCCCAAATTGTAGATAAGACTGAAGGAGACAGCCTGCTGACGTGAGCACAACCCTGCCCCCCATTCCCCTGATGAGTCACCAGCAGTTGAATAGGACCAGCCCACCTCTGGACAGTTGTCCACTTCTCTTCCCATTTCAGGACAACCTGTCAGACCTACTTCCATTATAGCATTGTGTAAGAAAAAACAAGGAATCAAAGGCTCTTAGGTCTTTTACATCATTTGAAAGAGAGATCATATAGTTCACCCTGGTTCACCCTTCTTCACCAATGTGCCCTTCTGGCCAAGCATTCTTGTCACCTGAGCATTGTCACCCTGCAAAGATATTTCCAGGGACTTAGAGCTCTGTGCTCTACAAGTTAACCCACACATAGGCATTACTCTCCAGGATCTATTTCCAAAAATGGACCCAATGAATCCTGGGGCCTGCACAAAGGTGGTGCCTTACAAAGAAGTGAGAGCCAGGCTGGATGGCACATAGATGTGGCTCAGGCCCCAAGGTCATCTTGCAGGACACGCCTCACAAAAGGACCATTGGCAATGCACTGGACAGAGAGTCTGAAGCCCAGAATCCGTTCCTTTGTATTCTCGTGCTAGTGACTCATTGATTGGTGCAGGTTAAACCACCCTCCCTTCATAAGGAGCTGGTCCAAGGCCAGGCTTGACAAGAAGCTTTTGCATGGTGGTTAAGAGGATGAAGCATAGAGCCAGCCTAGCTACTACTTACTTAATGCTGAGGAAATTCCTTAATCTCCCTGAGTTTCCTCAGCTGTAAAAGTGGGAAAGTAAACCTCACCACTATCACAGGATCCTTAAGAGGATTGAAGAGATGGTGTGTGTGCAGAGTGCTCAAAACAGAGTCTGCAATGGGAGCTCTTACTCAGAGACCTGGGCTCTCATTCTATGCCTGACTATCGAGCTTTTCCTCCTCCACCCACATAAATTTTAACTGGGGGTATCCTCCCTCAGCAAAGTCCCTTTGCTCCAGATGAAACCTCTCCACACACACACACACACACACACACACACGTGTGCACACACCATAACTGCTGTGCCTACCAATGCTGTCAGGATGCTACTAGTTCATTAAGCATTTTACTGTGCTGGGTGCAACAGGGCACACAAACTCTGCTTTCTCAGAATTCCAAGTTTAGGCAAAAATAGCCCATGGGCAAATAACTGTAGTGCAAGATAAAGTGTTACAAGTGTTCTGAACAGGTTTGTGTAAATAACGTGCAGTGGGTTCTCACAGGCCAGTGAGAACGGTATTGTCTGGGAGTGAAAAAGAGAGCATCATAAAACACAGCATGCGTTGGGCTTGACCCTAAAGCAAGGCTCGAAGATACACAGTTGACGGAAAGAACATTGCAAGCACGGTAGAGGCTCACAGGGAATGAACATTATGTTGCTATATTTACTGGAGCTCAATCCAGTCTTCCACTCTGCTAACCCAGAAACCAGATTTATTATATTCTGGAGCCTGAGAATCAAATAGACTCAGGGTAGACTCTAACTAACCACACTCAGGAGCCTGATGTATAACACCAGATGGTCAATATATTGTTTCCTATGAGCAGTAACTTGGATTAGAGTAAATTAGTACGGCCATCATGTTTTCCCTGAAGGCAAATTATAATTAAAAAGAAGATACTTGGACATGAAAGCAGATCAAGGAGAGTTATGTAACACGATTGTTTTCTGACATTAAACTGAGGTAGTCTGATATGCCTTTGTTTCCTCTGATAAGAACAGAGGCCTTAGAGAGATGGACCAAAATGTCCTCTCTCCTTCTTTTCTTTGTGGTTGACTAACACACCTCCTTCTCATCAATGTCATCTCTGTATTTTTTCCTGAGGTCAGTTATTTTAATCACCTCCTACTGATTTTGCTGATCTGGAAAACAGCCAATTTTTTGAAATGGTTTTGCATATCTCTGTTCAGACTCATAACTCTCATATGGAATTAGAAAAAAGTTCAGTATGATTTAGGGAGATAGGGATGAAAACTCTGATGAGGCCAGACCCCAGGGAGGAGTTGGACCTCACAAAGAGGGTTGTAAAAGGGGAGACCACATGGTATCCTAGTAACCCACTGATGGGCCATTCTGCTGCCTCTCCTACTGAACCACTGCTTTTCCACATGCAAGGGATGGCCCAGGCAAGGCCTGTGCCATTCCCAGATATGGGCTGACAAGAGGAGGGGTTTTTTCAGCATTTTGAGTGCTCCTAAATCAGAGGAGCATTTTCTGACCCATAAGGCTGTGTATTGCATCCTGGTTCACTCTATACAAAAGTTGGAAGAGCTATACTCTTGGGAAAGAAAGGAGGATAAGTGAATGTAGGTATATGCATGGGAGAGGGAATAACAATAAAAATGGCAAAATGTTCCCAGTCCCTTGTGTTACCTCTCAGACTTGCCTTCTTCAACCTCCTAAACACAGTTCAGACACAGCACCCTCTGGCAGCCTTCCTGTTCCCTCAGAGTTGACCCCTCCTTCCTCTGTGCCAGCAGTCAGCAAACATTTTCTGGTAAGGACCAGATAGTATGTGTTTCAGAATTTGTGGGCCATATGGTCTCTGTTGCAACAACAATCAATTCTGCTCTAACACTTGTTTAGAAATGTGCATTTGTTCCAATACGATTAATATATTAGGGAACAATATGGGCGTGACATGAATTTCACGTTTGCTTATGTGCAATTTCCTCTGTGAGAAACACTAAGTAAAAGCAAAAAAACTGAACACATCTGTAACAAGACACGTAAGAAATTATACAATGCACACACACACACCCCCATCAAACATCTGCCATCCACCCTCATTTCAGCATGAGTGTATAAGCCACACCATGCACATCCACTGCTACAACTTTCCCTGGGATTCCAGATAACCCCCTCTGACCGCTCCACAATAGCTCATGAGCTGCAGCGCTTCTCACTCCCACTTCTACAGGCTAATGCCAGGGCTTTTTCAAGGCAAGTGGCCATATTTGTGGTAGTATTGTTATATGTTTCTTAACCATTTTACATGTGTAGAAATATGTTGTCATCTTTTTCAGGTTATCCATTTTTTTATGTGTCACTGGCCAAGTTCTTGAGTGCTGTGCCCAGTGCCATTTCCCCCATAGGCCTTGTGTTTTTTATTACACAATCGTGTATAGTGTGGTGATTTTCAGAAACGCATGTGCATCCTTAGAGCAGAACCGACTGCACTCACCGTAAGGGTAAAAGTGGCCATAGACAATAGGTAAATGAATGAGCAGGCTATGTTCCAATAAAACTTCATTTACCAAAACAGACAGCAGATCAGACTGAACCCATGACCTTACATTGTTGACCTTACTTTCTTTGTGTTATCTCTCTACCCTGCACATGATTCAGTTGCTGCACTCAGCACCAGATAGTGATTTATTTATTTAAATGTCCCTCTCCCCAACCAGGCCATGAGCTCCATGTGAGCTGAGATTCTTTTATTCATCCCTCTCCCCAGCATCCAGCATTGTGCCTGGAACACAATGGGCTCTCAGTGAAGTTTGCTGAGTAATTTAATGAGGAAGTGCCCTCCTCACCCAGCAGATATGCCAACCCCACAAAACAAGAATTGTCCTCTTGCATTTCCCATTCCAGCATTACACTTTAACATTCAGATTCAGATGTAAGTAATATTTAATGAACCCTGTCTACTCAGCACATTGGAGTAACAACATGATTTTCTGTAATTTCATGTTATCCATCAAGAGAAACCCAAAAGATATATATTATTATTTTCATTTCATGGGTGAGGGAATTAAATCTCTGAGTCTTTAAATAATTGCCCTAAGTCACACAGCTAGCTACAGTGTACTTCAGAAATGTTCTGTGTAATAGTCCATTATCACGCTGTGATAAAGACATACCTGAGACTGGGTAATTTATAAAGTAAAAGAGGTTTATTGGATTCACAGTTCCACGTGGCTGGGGAGGCCTCACAATTATGGTGGAAGGTGAAAGGCACATCTTACATGGCAGCAGGCAAGAGAGAATGAGAAGCAAGCAAAAGGGATTTCCCCTTATAAAACCATTAGATCTCATGAGACTTATTCACTACCACAAAAACAGTGTGGGTGCAACCGCCTCCATGATTCAATTATCTCCCACTGGGTCCCTCCCACGACAGGTGAGAATTACAGGATCCACAATTCCAGATGAGATTTGGGTGGGAACACAGACAAACCATATCATCACTATGGGTCCTGGAGGGAGAACATATAACCCTGTCTGAGGGTACCCTCTCCTTGACTTCCTTTCCTCTCTCTCCACAGCAAATGTGTCATGGTGCTGACTTTCTATAAGATAGGTTTGCCTAACAAAAAGGAATGCCAAAGGAGGAAATTTTCCTACAGAAATAGTTTCTTAAAATCTCTTCCTTCAAAGCTGTTGAGGATATTATAGTAACCTAAACAAGGAAGCTTTTGAAACAAAATAGATGAGGTTCCTGTTACCTACAAAAAATAAAGGTTAATATTGTCTAAAATAATCATTAATTTTCAGAAGGCTCTAGAAGTTCTTTGGTTCTTATGCAATGGCTTGGTTTTATAGGATCACACTGGTTTTTACTCAGCCTTAAGCATTCCTACATTTTGTATACTGTTTACAGAATGCGAAAGGGTTTCAGTTTCACCTGATTTTCTTCAACACACAATAGCAAGAAAGTATTTATTTGGCTCATTCTTTATTTATGTAAGAAATTTAAGGGACTATGAACAGCATCTTGCCTGAAGTGGCAAAATTACCATCTGGAGTCTGCAAATGTGAGTCAAAGGAATCTCCGAGAAAAGCAGAATGCTTAAAACCCACCTGGCCCCATTACTGCTACAGAACCTTGTTCAAAGGCCCATGATCCAGCCAGCTCCTAAAGGTATGAAGTCTTGGCAAGACGGCCCAAGGCATTTCCTTGTAGGCCACCCTGGCCCTGCCTGGTTCTTAGCAGAGCATATCACCAATAGCCCGAGGGAGGAGAAGGTTTTCTGCTCCTTGGTATGCTTCCACCGTGGCTGAATGCCTGCAGTGCAGTGTGTACACAATCCACCTTATGAGACAGATGGAAATTGAGTTATAGCAAATAAATCATATGGCACTGCTTTTAGTGATGTCTTTCTATAGGGACTCTTCCTGTTGACTAAGTGTGGCCTTGTAGCTCCTTGATTAGCCACACAGATGTTTGGTTGATATTTGACTCCTGTGAGACATTTCTTACTTAAAGACTTGTGGTTTCTCAACATACAGAGTTCTGCCCCTTAGTGTGAGGAGTTTTGTGAGTGGGTTATTATAATTACATTCATGCTGCAGATACACACCCATGCCAACACACACATAAACACACAGTTATGAACCAAATCACCCACACCCCCAAAGTTGCCATACCTCACCCTATCCAAATATTTCATGGAAATGTTGGAGCTTGTGAAAGCAGATGATGAATTGCACTTTGTAGTTCAAGTATCTCTTTTACTATTCTCTGAATAGATATCCTACCAAAAAGCCAAAAGATGCCTACTGAAGAGGTAACCATTTTTGGAATCAGAGAGATAAGGGTTGGAATTCCAGCTTTACTAATTAGTGGCCGTGTATCCGTGGGCAAATTAGATCCTCTAAGTCTCAAATCCAAATCTATAAGGTTAGAATATTAATGCTGCCTACCTCATGAAGTTTTTGTGAGGAAAGTCCCTAGTAGCACAGTTCATTGAGTATTGTGTGTGTGTGTGTGTGTGTGTGCATGCATGCATGAGTGCACACACACGCATATCTTGTTTTATGGGGTGGGGTGGAGTATTAATAAATACTATTTCCCTTCCCAGGTGACTTGCAGTTTTAAGGGCTGGCCACATTCTGGGTAGTTTCTGGTCAGAATATACAGAGCTCAGGAAACTGCATTGTTGGGTAACCAGATCTATTTAATGAGAACAAAGATAACACAGTCAGGTTTATCTAAGTAGTGAATAGTATTTGAATCATGTTACACCAAATTTAGAAAAACCAAGAAAAAGAGACTAACATTGAGCACCCATAGTGTGCCAGAGACTTAAATTGCTTTATTTAGTCCTCAAACCAAATGAGGAGACTGAGGCTCAAAGAGATGAAGTATTTTAGCTCAGAATACCCAGCTTGTGCTGCCAACTCCAACACCGGCAAGTGGGTCTGAAAGACTGGGCTTAGTTTTGCCTGGGTGCCTCTCACCTCCTCAAAGCCAATTATTTAAAATGTGGGCAGTTACACAATAATGACGCACATGAATAGAGACAAACAACATAGGACTAGAATCCCGGGAAGGCCTGTCTGAGGCAGCAGAGACAAGGAATAACAAATCAAGCATCAGCACTGGTGAAAAAATACACACAGACTTGATGAAGAGGCACTACTAGAGTCCGAAGAAGTCAATTCATGACTGAACATTGCTGATGTGCGTACAACAGACAATTCCATCACTTTTCTGAGATGCGAGCATGAGAAGTAGCCACACAGTTGGAGACCTGGAGACGTGCCAATTCCTTTGCAGATGAGGCAGAAAAGATAAATGGAACAGTCAAAACTTTGTGCTTCAAAACTTTAAACAAAGAGCGGAGATTCACTGATTGGGGTCAATTCTTAGGATGAACCAAAAAAGAGTCAACCTTGATTAACATCCTTTTGCATCATCAAAAGGAGATAGGTCAAGATAAGGTAATTGTAAGGTAAACTGCTGACCACACACAGCTGTTAAAGGAGTCATGCGCCAGCCAAAAGTGGGCAGATTTATTTCCTCAGGGGGCCTAGAAGCTCTGCCATCCCATAATTCTTCATAAAAAGCTAAATTCCTCTGCAATGACTTTTAAACTCCCATGATTTTTTTTCTAACGACATGACAGGACAGCAAAACAAAGACATAATTCTTTTCTATCTTATGAGCTAAACTGCTCCTTCTCTTGATTAGTGGCTAATTGCATATTATTTCCTCTCTGCCGAGGGAAACTGCAATGGAGAACCCCTAAGCTGCATGGTAGAATCACCCAGGGAGCTTTTAAAAAAATGATTCCTGGCCCTGCCCCAGACCTAAGGACTCAGAATATCTGAGAGAGATGAGTCCAGGAATTTGTATTTTTAAAAATCTCCCCAGGTAATTCAAATATGCAGGAGGGTACAGAACACTGGATAATGCCAAGCACCTCGACTTCGTGATAAGAAACAGGTCTGTGGCTGGGATTCAAATTCTGGCTTCACCACTGATTAACTCTATGACAACAGACAAAACACTGCCCTTTCTAAGAACTTCCTCTCCAATGTCCAATAAAATAAAGATATTCCGGCTGCAAGGTCAAATGACAGAGCATACTGAAGACTTTTATAAAAATAGTTAAGTATTACCATAATGTCAATCATATGTAATAGTTAAATTGAGTATGTTTTACAGATAAAGATAACCTACCTTTCCTAGGAAACTGTACAGCAGCTTTTATTCCGGTAATTTTTTTTTATTTTATTCTGAGACTTTGAGTAAGGCCATCTTAGGCTAGCTGACTTGGATGAATAAATAAAAATAATTGGGATCTCTTTAAACTTTTAGTGGCAAGCAAATTAAAAAGTGTATTTCTCTAGATGACGAAAAGGATAGTCCCTGAAGCTAATGAAGCTCTGATTTATGCTCAGGTTCATGCTACTAAGGAGCTTATCCTCCTACAGAGAAAAACATTTCCCCTCAGGACACAGCAAGTTCCTATGCTAGTAACTGAGGCACGCAGTTCTTGTTGCATGCTAAAAGTGAGAACACTTAGTTATTCCTAAACAGTCACTTATTGGTCACTAGGTAGGAAATGAAAACAGATGTTTTCTCTAAATTGCCTCTGATCAATTGATTTGAGAGGTGCTAAAGATTAAGTCATAGGCAGGAGCTTCCATAAAATTAGCAAAATAAAATAAGCTATATTCCTATATTATCAACCAAAATCTCCTAAGGGAAAAAAGTTTGCAGTTTCAGCCCAGGATGCACGTCCTATTAGGCGAAGTATTGAAATGCAGTACTCAACAAAACTGGATGGTGGTTTGGAAAAGGAAAGGAAACCAGAGGCGCAACATTTGGGTAGCTATGGGAAGTTTATAAAGCAAGGAATCCAAAGGCCCAGAGACAATGCCACAAGTTTGTACGTGCCAGCAGAGCTCCAGGCCTGCCAGCTTTCCAGTTGCAGTGTTAGTCCACAGAATGAAAGAGAGAGTGCATCAGAAAGGGATGTGCGTTCAAGTGGTCATCTTTGTTATAAAAATTTTGCACACCATCAAAAGGGGCATTAGAGAATTAAATGAATTATTGTGCATCTCTAAAATAGAATATCGAGAAGTCATTATGCAAAATGTTATAGAATAATATTTTTGATATGGGAAATTGTTGACAATTTATTAGGTTTTAAAAAGCAAGCTATGTTTATATGATGCCATTTTATTAAAAGTGAATTGGATATATAATATAAAGAATACTAGAGTCATTCATTTATTTATTCATAACCACAAATTCTTACTGGGTCCATTTCATAATTCTGGACGTGGGACATAACAGTAGAAAAATAAGTTCCCTGCTTCACGGAGCTTAGATTCTAGAGACAGGCTATAGAAAATAAACAAATGAGCATGTAAACATGAAGTATGTTACACAGTGATACGTGCCATGGAGAAAAACAGAGCAGGACAGGGAGAAGCACTCCAGGAACTCCCAGCACAGAAGGCAAGACTCACTGCTAACAGAACAGAAGAAAGTAAGGTGGGGAGCCATACTGATGATTAGAGAAAAGCTTTGGCAGAGAGAACAGCAAACAGTAAAGGCTTTGGTGGGCAGGAGAGTGCTTGGTATATTCAAGAGAGAGCAAAGGGGCCAGAGTGGCCAGAACAGAGTAAATGAGGGAAAGTGGCAGTGAGGTCAAAGTGAGGTAGCAAATGGCCAGATCACACCAGTTCATGGAAATCATTATTTAATCACAGGGCTTTCTTGGAAGGCTGTGGGCAGTTTGTTGAACAAATGTGGATGTGACCTGTTTTAAGATTGAGTCACTCTGGCTACTATGTTGGGAATATGCTGGAAAGGGGTAAGGACTTGTCTTCGTCCTTTCAAGCAGCTATAACAAAATATCATAGACTGGTGGCTTATAAACAACATAATTCATTTCTCATTGTCTAGAGGCTGGGAAGTCCAAGATCAAGACACCAGCAGATTTGGTGTCTGGTGAGGGCCTGGATCCTTATAGACGGCCATTTTCTCACTGACCTCACAAGGCAGAAGGAGTGAGGGATCTCTCTGGGGTCTCTTTTATAGGGAAACTAATCCCATTCATGGGACTTCATCACCATGACCTAATTAACTGGCAAAGGCCCCGCCTCCTAATACCATCACCTTGGGAGTGAAGGTTTCAATACGGGAATTTTTGGGGAATGTAAACGTTGAGACAATAGCAGGGATGGAAGCAAAAGAGCAGTTAGGAGGTTACTGCAATCATCTCAGTCAACAGTGGGATGCCTTGGACCTGGATGGTAGTAGAACATGGGATGAGAAGGGTCAGATTCTGGGCGTATTTTGCAGGTGGAGCTGATGTGGTTTGGTGAAGAATGTGGAATGTGAGGGAGAGGAGTCCAGGGTGACCCCAAGGTGTGGGTGTCCTAATAAGGCTCCTAAAAAGGCAAGTAGGAAGAGCACTGAAAACTGTCATTGGATGTGAGGACCCAGATGGCATGGTGGAGAAGAAGCCCTGACTGAAGAGGACTGAAGGGAGGATGGGGGCAGAGGGACAGCAGAGAGTGAGTGTAGACGGCTCTTCTGGGGATTTTCACCAGGAAGAGGTAGGAAATGGAGTGGTGTGAGATGTGGGCTCTAGCAACTGAAACAAAACCTTAACAGGGATTGGTTTCAGCTGGTGGGAGTTTGAGTAAATATCTCCCTTCCCCAGGCCCCCCACCCTTTTGTGGAAAATACTAAATCCTGAAAAATATGATTTCTTGACTTAAAGGGGCTATCTGTACAATATACCAAAGATAGGGGGTTAGGAAATTAGAACAGAAGTAAAAACAGAAAAAGAGGAGAAAAAGGAGGGGAAACCATAACCCTCCTATGAAGCATATCATGCTAACATGTACGTACATTAAAAATCCACACTGTAAAATAACACTGATATTGTTTGGCTGTGTCCGCACCCAAATCTCATCTTCACTTGTAGTTCCCATAACCCCACATGTTGTGGGAGGGACCAGGTGGAGATAATTGAATTACTGGGGCAGTTTTCCCCATCCTGTTCTTGTGATAGTGAGTTCTCATGAGATCTGATGGTTTTAAAAGGGGCTTTTCCCCATTTTGCTCAGCACTTCTCCTTGCTGCCTCCATGTGAAGAAGGACATGTTTGCTTCCCCTTCTGCCATGATTGTAAGTTTCCTGAGGCCTCTCCAGCCCTGTGGAACTGTGAGTCAGTTAAACCTCTTTTCTTTATAAATTACCCAGTTTCAGGCATGTCTTTATTAGCATTGTGAGAACAGACTAATACAAATACTATAGCTATGGGTGCCAAAGCTTAAAAGAATAAACTAGAAGGATTTGCATCAAATCCACAACCATGGCTACTTTTGGATTGTGGGAAAAGAGTTTTGGCCTGGGCATGGAGAAATAAGAAATGATTTTATTTTCATTTTTTGCTCAAAAATCAAAGATCTGAAGCAAATATAAAAACTAAATGTAAAAATAATCAGGCCTGCATAGTGACTAAAATTTTTTAAATATTATTTACCATGTTTTAAAAAATCTCTCTGAACTTGCACCAAAAAATCAAACATATTCTTCCCACACCACATCCTCATCCCATCCCATCTCTTTATAATCTTTTCTTGGTTTCCAATAGAATATACTTATAATAAAATCATATGATGGCATCAAAGTAATTCATTAAATTAAAATCAACAAAATCAACTTTTTAGCATTATTCTCTCACTCATCCATTCGTTCACTAAATATTAATCATGTTCTCACTTATATGCAAACAAGGTCTTTCAGCTGTAGCTATATTGTAATGATCAGGATAAACAACTTCAGAAAACGAATGTCATATGCCCTTCAGAAACTTGGAGTTGAGAACATAAAAGAAATGAAAGTGAGTGAATTTATCAATAGAAGGTAAATTCAGGAAATTCTGCACAACATATAGGATTTTGATGAGATTAGGACTTTTGATAAATCTTCCACACGTAATTATAGTATATATTAGCTTGACAAATTGAAATTCAAGGAAAAAATTGTATATGCCTTGCTGATTTTTAAAACATTTCTCTCCTCTATTATAAAAGTCATTGTTTTGATTCAGAAAGAGAACATAAAATTATTTCTAGTGTGAACGACAGTAGCAGCTTTTATGGCTAGTCAAAGGAAGAGGAAAGAAATATTAGTGGAAATGTACACTTGCTAAACTTGTCCTTTTTTTTTTTTTTTTTTTTTTACAAAACAAAAGAATAAATATATAAGCTAATGAATTTCAGCAGAACTAGAATGGGGGTGTGCATGCATGTTTCCCTGCCCAGAATTTCTGACACCTGCACCAATCCCACTGAAAACTAGCATTTCCTCAGAAGAGAGCAGACAAGGTTGTGACTAATGTTTGCAGAACAAGAAGCTCAATAAACAGGATGACTTGAGTTCAGAGAAGTCCTGCAATCATTTCCTACCACACTTCACTGACAGGATAAAACTGAATAAATAATAGATTGGTGAGGGTTAGACTGCAGAAGGAACTACAGCAAGATCAGGAGCCCATGCCTTCTCCAGACTGTGTATACATTCGCATTTTATCCATTCCAGAGTGACTATGGAACCCAATAGTCAAACTCTTTACCATAATTTAAATCAGCTTTTTCATATGTTTATAACCTCTTATTCACTCATTCCCTTACCCATTCCCTTTTTTTTTTTTTTTTTAAGATGGAATCTTGCTCTGTCGCCCAGGCTGGAATGCAGTGGTGTAATCTCAGCTTCCCACAACCTCTGCCTCCTGGGTTCCAGCAATTCCCCTGCCTCAGCCTCCCAAGTAGTTGGGATTAGAGGCTTGTGCCCCCATGCCCAGCTAATTTTTGTATTTTTAGTAGAGATGAGGTTTTGCCCTATTGGCCAGGCTGGTCTCAGGTGATCTACCCACCTCGGCCTCCCAAAGTTCTGGGATTACAGGAGTGAGCCAAACCCATTACTCTTTCTTTCTCTCTTGCTCTCTCCTTTCCAATTTTTTTCCCATCAAGTATATCGTAACAGACTATTGAAAGAGCAGAATTCTAAACTGCCTCTTTAAGGAGCTTTGGTATAACTCACATAGATTTTTAAAAATTAAAACCTAAGTGACATAAGATTAACCTGAAAGAATATTCTCAATAAAAAATATTTCCTACACTTCTTGTTATTTCTACTATTAAAGTCAGAGATAAGTCAGTTTCTCTAATAAATTCTCTGCAAGAATTATAATTGCATTTTTTATTTAAAAATAATCTTTCTTTAAAAAAAGCATATTCTGTAATCACCCAGATGACCATTTTCTAGTTAAGTCCTGCTATGTGAATTCAGAGTCAGTATCTGCATTGGGACCAAGTAGTAACATTTTCACTGTCTTAAACAAATGAGAAAAGATGTGAAATTAGCAAGATTTCAAGGCAAGTAAAAGCCAAATTATGTCAGAGCATCCTATCTGTACAAAAATTTTATCACTATTTGGAAGGGGAAAGAAGGATGAATTGAGTTCTTACATAACAGACAATAGCATAGGCGTGTTAAACTCAGAAGAAACTGAACCCCTATGGTCAGCACCCTACTTATATTTTCTGATCATTTCCATTTTCAATAAAACCACATCCTCAGTCACATTAAATAAATGTACTTAATTTAAATTTTGTTCATTTTATGGCTTGTTTGTATTTAAGTGGTAAACTTGTTTTAGTTTTATTGTTGTATAAGAGTTACAAACATGAGGAGTTTATATGCAGTTTAATGCTTATATGTACATAACAATTTAATAAACATAAGTCAGTATGGAGGGTGTTCTATAAAATTCTATTGTTTTGAAAGGGGGTCTATATATTAGTCAGCTTCCAGAAACACTGATTTAAGAAGTATCTACCCTGAATAGTACTTGTAGTAGGCTGAATAACAGCTCCCAAAGATGTCCATATCCTGTCTCTGGAATCTATGAATGAGTTAACTTCTGTAACCAAAAGAACTATGCAGATATCAAGTTAAGGATTTTGTGGCCAGGAGGTTAGCCCCCCACAAGGGCTAGTATGAAGTCCCCTTACTTCATTAAGGTCCTCACAGGAGGAGACAGATCAGAGTGCACAGTAGGAGATGTGAGGACAGACACGAGGGTGGAGTGACACAAGGAAGGGTCCGCAAGCCAAGGCAGGCAGCCAGCCTCTAGAAGATAAAAGAGGGTTGGAAATAGGTCTTCCTCTGCAGCCTCCAAAAGGAACACAACTCTGCCAACACTTTGATTTTAGACTTCTGGCCTCCAGAACTCGGTGTATTGTTTTAAACCACTACATTTGTGGTAAATTGTTATAGCAGCTGTTTTATTCTTTTAAAAGGGGGTTTATCTATTGTATATTAGTGTACACTACTTAATCCACTTGCACAGAATGATTTTTAGCTCCACGTTTCCCACTGTATTTTCTGGCAAGCAGATCCGTTTGTGATCACCAAACAGGCTCTCAGATTGTGAGCAAAACAGAGATAGAGTTCAGTGGAGGAAAGAGAGGGAGATGTGGAAGTGCAGAGGAGGCCAGAAGGAGGCTCCACCGGAAGGCCCTTTGTGGGGAATGGAACTGGGTGCAAGTCCTGGGTTGCTCATTAGCCAGTGGGGGTTGGCACAGAAGAAAAGGAAGTTGGGGTCCATTGAGCAGTCAGCTGGAAGAGAGTGAAACTGGATGGGGCAGCATTGTCCTGGGGATGCTGACCCTCCCTCTGAATCTGGAAGTTTGCCCTCAAACTTTTTTTCCAGCATTTACATTCCCTGGGTAAGTGAGGCTCCCCCAAGATTGCTCTGGGGAACAAAGCAGATTCTGAGGGCACTCAAGACTTAAGGCAAATCCTCCCAAATCGGAGCTCATCCCCACTGAAATCGACAAAGGCTATCAGGCAAGGCCAAGGGCACCCAGGCAAGTGAAGGAAGTCCTTTTCTTGGTCCTGGCTGAGGGGTTTGGGCAGGAAATCAGGTTAAGGGCCAAGCGGACTCTGGGATAATTGTGCTGAAAGCAGGAGAAAATGCATCTCAGGCACCGCCATTTTGTTGTTTTATCCCCTAAGAAACTAGGAAAAACGATTACACCCTAGGGTCTGGCAAGATGCATGCAAAAGCCAAATAAGAGATCACATGGGCTGACAGGGAGACAGCCACGGAGGAAAGTTGATTTATTATGTGTAAGTTAAATGCTATCTAGCAACAAGTAGTGGTGTATCCTGCTGCCCTGGAATTCTCTTCTCCACCCTTCTGCCATTTTCACCGCTTTCTGGGCTTTCTTTGCCCTACCTACCCTGGGAGGCAGGATTAAATTGTCCTCAATTATCTGTCCTCTGATTCTGTTAGGTTTACTGTCCTCCCGAGCAGGCAATTGGGCCAGGATACACTGGTCCACTGTGCAAGGAAGGATTTCACCGCTATGGGCTTGAATAAAAATAGAGCTAACGTGTTCTATGTTGTCACTCAATACTTTCTCACTGCACCTCGCATCAGCATTTGAGTAAGAACCTATTCCGGGGCCCTGAAGTGCCTTTTCATTAGAGCTATCACTTAATAATCAAAAAATAATGTATTACCTAACAGGTAAAGATGCTAATTCTGTTCTAGAGCCTAAAATCATCTCATGTCAGGAGGCTATTTTAAGTTATGAAAACTCTAGTGACACCATAACTATCCTCTCACAACACAGAATATTTAGAATACAAATGCTGCATAGGCAATTCTGAATCCATTCTATAGATGGTTTAAACCCTTTAAAATATGACATCTTACTCTTAAACAAGTGTTTAAAGTGGCGATGATCATTATCATCATCATCATCCCTTTTCTCATTTCAAAAGCAAATTCATTAAATTTTAGCTACCGCAGAATCCCTGATACATTTAAATTTGACTAGAATGAGGTTTACATCATAATATCTAAGAAGAAAAGGGTTGTAAAGATCGTAACAGTAGAATCTGTGAAATATTTAAGAAAAATGATTTTCCTATGGAGTACTGGCATTCGTTTGGACGCTAATGACAAAATATGTCTCATCCTCTTGAAGAAATAAATCCAGTCCCATAAAACCACACAACATTTGAATTGGGAGGGACCTAGAGTTATTCTTCAATTGTTCAGGCATGAGTAAGTCCCTGCCACAATAACTCCATTTAATGCCCAGCCCTTCCCTGGACACCTCCACAGAAATGGAATGCACTCTGATCTTTGACGGCTCATTTTTCCTCTCCTTCCTTTCTTCACTTAGGGTCAGGTCTAAGTGAAATTGCGAAGACAGCCATGCAGTCAGCCTCTCCAGCACAGTTCGTCCTCAGTCAGAAAAGACTTAACACTCTATCTTGGTGTTCCTACCTTTCACCCTTGGGTCACACCTCTGTCCCCTACAGCCATGCAGAATAATGTGACTCCCTCTTAGCCAAGTGAGGTCTCCAAAGAGTTCTCTCTTTTGACCTTGCCCATGAGGTTTGGATGTGAACCTCCTCACCATCCTTGTCACTCTACTCTGGGTCTACTCCAATTTGTTTCTGTCTCTCCTGCCATCTGACACCCACAACTCAACCTGGTACTCCAGCTGTGGTTTGGCCCCTACTTGGAGCACTTGGTTGAACTTAGAAATTTCTATTTTTTTTAAAAAAGGATATGATTACATTCATCAGACACGACTTCTAATTCACACTTGCCATTGAGAATAGCCTGCCCTCCAATGACCCATATTTTCAGATTTTTTTTTTTTTACTGTGCCTCTCTCAAGAGTCCAAATTGTCTTTCATGTCATCCTGAGTTGTAAAAGTCAAAACAAAACAAAACTACAGTTGCCTAAGAATTACTCCTAGAAATACAGAAGTACAAAAAAAAAAAAAAAAAAAAAAAAACAAGCACAATCAGGTGTACTGCTTGCTCAGTGTACAGTCCCTGAAAAACAGGCTGGGGAGCTGGGGAGCGTCTCCTAACTTGATAAAGCTCCTTTTAAAAACTTTCCCATCTGGAGATAGATTGAAAGTAAAGTCGTCTTTGTGACTGAAGCTCAGAAAAGTTTATTTTGATATTTTCAACTTTTTTTTTTTTTTTTTGAGACACAGTCTCACTCTGTCACCCAGGCTGGAGTGCAGTGGTGCAATCTTGGCTCACTGCAAGCTCTGCCTCTTGGGTTCACGCCATTCTCCTGCCTCAGCCTCCCGAGTAGCTGGGACTAGAGGTGCCCGCCACCACGCCCAGCTAATTTTTTTTTTTTTTTGTATTTTTAGTGGAGACAGGTTTCACTGTGTTAGCCAGGATGGTCTCGATCTCCTGACCTCCTGATCTGCCCCTCTCAGCCTCCCAAAGTGCTGGGATTACAGGCAAAAGCCACCGCACCCGGCCAATATTTTCAACTTTTGAAAAGAACTCTGAAATGTACTAGCAAAATATTTGCTAGGCCAGGTTTCCAAATCATTTCTTTATTACTCTTGTCTTTAACTCTCAGAACTTAGTAGGGGAGGCAGTGAATGTTGAAGGTAGAATAGCAGATGAGAGAGGAAAGGGGGGCCACACTACTGGGGAGAGGCTGGGTCATTCATTCCTGATGGTGACTAGAGCTCCTTCTGGGAGTGGGGGCATGGGTTTGGCAGGTGCCCCAGGCTGAGAATGAGCAATTCACTTCCATTCTAACACTACGTTTTATAATGAAACAAAAGACAATTCCCCCCCTGAGAAGCTGGGTGTTGTGGTTTCACACCTTCTCATTTCGGTGTTTTTGCTTAGCCATAAACAAGGACTGATTGAAAAAGAAAAACTCACAGAAATTTCAATTACTGTTAATGTCGCTTGAGTGTTTTCACTGTCACAGTCTAGGGCTTCAACTTTTTAATAAGTTTACTGTAATTATTACAAGTTTTTGGTCTAATTCCAGCTGAGGATTTAATGGGACTCATTCTGACAAGATATAGGATATTGTCCCAATAGATGCTCATTTGGAAATGGGCCACTTGCAATTTCAAGTGTGCAGAGCTGTGCAAGATTAAAAGTACTGGCAGTGTAATTTCCACCTTGTGTCCCAGGCTCTGTGGATTTGTAGCTCATCCAGGCTGTCCATCTGGGGAGCAAACAGCATGTACTCCTTGATGAGAAACTCTGGCCAACCGACCAGCTGTGAAAAAAATAGATTACTCTTGTCATTTTTTTCTCCTAGGTAATTTGCTAGGAGTAAAAATATAATTTCTTAGAAGGTCTGCAGTTAAAAGCAAATTCTAGCGATGTGCCTGATTTTTATTTAAAACTTCACTGCACTTTTATTTGTTAAATTTAATTTCTCAACAATACCCTGGCTGTGATAATATTTCCTAACTCACAGGAAATAGAAAGGTTGGTTTCTGGTATTTGGACACTAGAGAAACACAGGAAGGAGGGTGTAGAGGAGGAAAAAGAGAAGTACTCAGCTGGCAGGCTAAGCTGAGCACAAAGAAATATACTGCTGTTCTCCCTATAGGTAAAGGAGATATTATGATGGAATTAAGTAACTGTTGGGAAAATAGATCTTCCTATTGCCACCAGGAAGCTAAACTGCAAACTGCATCTTTTTAATCCCCTGACATGTATCTTCATCCTTATGAGAATTCAGAAGGTCATGCTAGATAATCAGGGTAATTCTAGATGAATTGAGCTGAAGAGCTGAGAGAAGGATTGTTAATAACCATCTGAATTGTGAAGCAGTATGTAACATCTATAGGTTTAATATGTTCACCAGGCTATGTGATTTCAGCAAGCCAAAAGGAATGGAAGAAATGTGCCAAGTAAAATTAAGCTGTTCAGTCTGCAACCAGTGGAGAGTTAATGATATAATTTGAAATTAAAGAATTTGCAATAATACTTCTGCACGGTGAGTTACAAAATATTTAGACATCAGTGAGTGCTGCACAGTAATCTTCTGTCCGGAATTTCAGTGTTAAAGTGCTATACCTCGTACACTCTATTGTCCTGACCCTTAAACTGTTTATTTTAAAAATACAGCTCCAGCCCAGGTGCTCACACATGTAATCCCACCACTTTGGGAGGCCAAGGCGGGCAGATCACAAGGTCAAGAGATCGAGACCATCCTGGCCAATATGGTGAAAACCCGTCTCTACTGAAAATACAAAAATTGGCTGGGCGTGGTGGCATGCTCCTGTAGTCCCAGCTACTCAGGAGGCTGAGGCAGGAGAATCGCTTGAACCCGGGAGGCAGAGGGTGCAGTGAGCTGAGATCATGCCACTGAACTCAGCCTGGTGACAAAGCAAGACTCCATCTCAAAAAAAAAAAAAAACAAAAAAAACACAACTCCAAACAAGTGTTAGCATTTTTTGAAAATTGATGTACTGTTACACATTATTATAGTGTTACATATTATTTGATTTATTTTGATATTGGGTATAGTTAACTATTATTACTATATATGTATGAGTATATATGTATAAGTACATATATTAAGTATACATACACACAAGACAAAGGACTTTTGTCTAGAATATATAAGGATTCCTACAATTTAATAAAGGAAGGATTCTTACGATTCAATTTTTTTAAAAAAGCCAAACAGCCAGGCACAGTGGCTCACATCTGTAATCCCGACATTTTGGGAGACCAAGGTAGGTGGATGGCTTGAGGCCGGGATTTTGGGACCAGCCTGGGCAGCATGGTGAAACTCCGTCTCTTCAAAAAAAAAAAAAAATAGCAGGTTATGGTACCACACGCCTGTAGCCACAGCTACTTGGAAGGCTGAGGTGGGAAGATCAAATGAGCCCAGGAGGTTGAGGCTGCAGTGAGTCATGATCGTGCCACTGCAGTCCAGCCTGGGCAACAGAGCAAGATCCTATCTCAAAAAAAAAGAAAGAAAGGAAAAGAAAGAGAAGAAAAGAAAAGCCAAACAAACAAATAAAAAGAATAGACAAAGATTTGAACAGAATCTGTACAAAAAAAGACATGCTTATAGGTAATAAGCACATGAAGAGGTAGTTAACATCACGCGTTATCAGGGAAATGCACATTAACACCATAATGAGATATCACTCCACATCTGTTAGAATGACCAAAATTTAGAAGCCTGACAATACCAAGTGTTGATGAGGATATGAAGTAATGGGAACTCTCCAACATTGCTGGTGGAAAAATAAAGTAGTTCAATCATCTTGGAAAATAGTTTGATTCTCTCTTATAAAGCTAAACATTCTCTTACTATATGATCCAGCCATTCCACTCCTAGATATATGTGTCTCAGTCTTCTTGTGCTGCTATAACAAAACACCACACACTGGGTAATTTATAAAGAACAGAAATGTATTGTGTCAGAGTTCTGGAGGCTAGGAAGTCCAAGATAAAAAAGCCAGCAAGTTTGTTGTTGGGTGCAGGCTGTTCTCTGCTTCCAACATGGCGCCTTGTGCTGTATTCTCTGGAGGGGACAAAAATTGTGTCCTCACATGGCAGAAAGGACAGAAGGACTAAAAAAATGCTCCTTTCAACCTCAAGCCCCTTTATAAGGATGCGAATTCCATGCATGAGGGTAGAACACTCATGACTTAATAACCTCTCAAAATCCACACCTCATAATACTGTTGCATTGGAGATTCACTGCCAACATGAATTGGGAGGGAACACCATCATTCAAGCCATAGAAGTATTTATCCTGAATGAAAGACAAATGAAAACAGATGTCCACACAAAGACTTGCAGATGGATGTTCATGACAGCTTTATTTATAATAGTCAAAAATTAGAAACTGCCCAAATGTCCATCACCAGGTAAGTAGCTAATTAAATTGAGGTATATTCATACAATGGAATGTTATTCAGCAATAAAAAGGAAACAAACTACTGATAGACACAACAACATGGGTGAGTTCAAAAACATTATGTTGAGCAACAGAAGCCAGACACCAAAGGAAACAGTATAATTCCATTTTTATGAAAGTCTGGGAAAGACAAATCTAATCATTAGTGACAGAAAGAAGATCAGTGGTTGCCTGGAGTCAGGGATGAGGGCTGATTATTGACTAAGAAGGGCACAAGGAATTTACTGGGTAATGATAATTTTCTATATCTTGATAATAGTGGTAGTTACAGATTATATAAATCTATGAAAACTCATCAGTGTACATTTCATTATATATCAATGTATACCTCAATAAATTTGATTAAATTAAAAAAATTATAACCATCATTAAAGTCTTTTAAATGATTATCAAGCTTCTCTCTAACCTCATTTCTTTCTTTCATCTTCTTCTCCGTCAAACTTCCCATATTAGCCTTCTTGATAGCCTTGAACATGCCAGACACACTAAAACCTTGCACAACGGCCATTCCTTCTGCCTACAAAACTATCATCTCACATGCCCAATCAGCTTACTTTCTCACTCCCTTCTATTCTTAACAGTCATTTTCTCTGTGAGGGCTTACTCTGCCCACCTTACTTAAATTGTAACCCCACAACATTGCCCGTAACCTTACCCTATTTTATTTTTCTGTATAAACTTTATCATCTTCGAATATACTCAATATTTTACTTACTTATTATATTTAGTATTTTTAACCTCTCAATATAAATGTCATGAGTTTGGGATTTCATCTGTTTTGTTCATTGCTGAACCCCTAGTACATTTGACACTTAGTAGTCACTTAACACTTGTTTGTTGAATAAATGAATAAATAAATAATGCATGAAAAGAATGAAATCAACTACATAGTTGTGATACCAAATATGAGAGAACTGCATTCTCACATGAAAAAAAAGAGACTGTCATAATAAGGTATAAAGCAAAACCCTAAAACATTTGCCTAACTAAAATAAAAAAAAGGTTAAAAATCACTTTATACTAGACCAATGCAGACAAACAAAGGCAAAAGCAGCAGCAGCGATGTCAGTATTAGCAAGGAGACTTATATGGTTTGGCTGTGTCCCCACACAAATCTTATCTTATCTGGAATTATAGCTCCCATCATCCCCACATGTCATGGGAGGGACTCAGTGTTCTAAATCATGGGGGCAGGTTTTTCTTGTGCTGTTCTCATGATAGTGAAAGAGTCTCATGAGATCTGATGATTTTATAAAGGGCAGCTCCCCTGCACATGCCCTCTTGCCTGCCACCATGTAAGATGTGCCTTTGTTCCTCCATTGCCTTCTGCCATGATTGTGAGGCCTCCCCAACCATGTGGGACTGAGTCCATTAAACTTCTTTTGCTTTATAAATTACCCAGTCTCAATTATGTCTTTATTAGCAGCATGAGAACAAACTAATATAGTAAGTTGGTACCAGATAGTGGGGCATTGCTGTAAAGATACCTGAAAATGTGGAAGCAACTTTGGAATTGGGTAACAGGCAGAGGTTGGAACCTTTTGGAGGGCTCAGAAGAAGACAGGAAGATGTGGGAAAGATAGGAATTTCCTAGAGACTTGTTGAATGGCTTTGACCAAAATGCTGATAGTGATATGGACAATAAACTCCAGGCTGAGGTGGTATCAAATGGAGATAAGCAACTTGTTGTGAACTGTTCCAAAGGAGACTCTTGTTATGCTTTAGCAAAGAGGCTGGCAGCATTTTGCTCTTGCCCTAGAGATCTGTGGAACTTTGAACTTGAGAAAGATGATTTAGGGTATCTGCTGGAAGAAATTTCTAAGCAACAAAGCATTCAAGTGGAAGCAGAGCATAAAAGTTTGGAAAATTTGCAGCCTGACAATGCAATAGAAAAGAAAAACCCATTTTCTGGGGAGAAATTCAAGCCTGCTGCAGAAATTTGCATAAGTAACAAGAAGCCAAATGTTAATCACCAAGACAATGGGGAAAATGTCTCCAGGGCATGTCAGAGATCTTTGTGGCAGCCCTTCCCATCACAGGCCCAGAGGCCTAGGAGGAAAAAATGGTTTCCTGGGCTGGGCCCAGGCACCCCTGCTGCCGTGTGTAGCCTAGGAACTTGGTGTCCTGCATCCCAGCTACCCCAGCCATAGCTAAAACGGGTCAAGGTACAGCTCAGGCTGTGGCTTCAGAGGGTGCAAGCCCCAAGCCTTGGCAGCTTCCATGTGGTGTTGAGCCTGCAGGTACACAGAAGTCAAGAATTGAGGTTTGGGAACCTCTGCCTGGATTTCAGAGGATGTATGGAAATGCCTGGATGTCCAGGCAAAAGTTTGCTGTAGGGTTGGGGTCCTCATGGAGAACATCTGCTAAGGCACTGTGGAAGGAAAATGTGGGGTTGGGGCCCCCACACAGAGTCCCTACTGGGGCACCACTGAGTGTTGCTCTAAGAGGGCTACCATCCTTCAGACTCCAGAATGGTAGATCCACTGACAGCTTGCACTGGGCACCTGGAAAAGCCCCAGGTACTGAATGCCAGCCTGTGAAAGCAGCCAGGAGGGTGGCTGTACCCTCAGAGCCACAGAGGCAGAGCTGCCCAAGGCCATGGGAGCCCACTTCTTGCATCATTGTTATGTGGATGTGAGACATGGAGTCAAAGGAGATCATTTTGGAGCTTTAAGATTTGAGGGCTCTGCTGGATTTTGGACTTCCATGGGGTTTGTAGTGTCTTCATTTTGGCCAATTTCTCTCATTCAAAATGGCTGTGTTTGCCCAATTCCTGTACCCCCATTGTATCTAGGAAGTAACTAACTTGCTTTTTTTATTTTATATGCACATAGACGGAAGGGTCTTGCCTTGTCTCAGATGAGACTTTGGACCTGGAATTTTGAGTTAATTCTGAAATTCGACTTAGACTAATTCAGACTGAGGGACTGTTGGGAAGGCAAGATTGGTTTTGAAATGTGAGGGCATGAGATTTGGGAGGGGCTGGGGTGGAATAATATGGTTTGGCTGTGTCTCCATCCAAATCTCATCTGAAATTGTAGCTCCCATAAACCCCATTTGTTGTGGGAGGGACCTGGTGGGAGGTAATTGAATCATGGGGGTGGTTTTTCTCTGTGCTGTTCTCATGATAGTGAGTAAGTCTCATGGGATCTGATGGTTTCATAAAGGGCAGTTCCCCTGCACACGTCCTCTTCCCTGCTGCCATGTAAGATGTGCCTTGCTCCTTCTTCATCTTCTGCCATAATTGTGAGGCCTCCCCAGCCATGTGGAACTGAGTCCATTAAACTTCTTGTTTTAAATAAATTACACAGTCTCAGGTATGTCTTTGTTAGCAGCATGGGAACAGACTTAATACAGAGACTAAATCTAATATAGCGGATATCACATAATTATTAAAAGTATAATTTATGAAGAGTCTCTAGCAGTTATAAATCAGTAGTCATCAAAAAACAAAGCACCTAAAATATACAGCAAAAATATTACAAATAAAGTAGAGCTTGATGAACAAGAAAAACAGTGAAAAACTTTTTAGAGTTGAGTAGATGTAGTTATATTTAAAAAATAAGTATAAACATGGGGGAATTGAATGAAAAAATAAATTTGATCATATATTTCTTTCTCAATGGAATACTGTAACTTCATTAAAATGTAAATTCCATGAGGTGAGATATATGTCTGTGCTCTTCACTGCTGTATCACCAGCACTTTGAAAAGGGCCTGGCATGGTCCAGGCGTGGTGGCTCATGCCTGTAATCCCAGCACTTTGGGAGGGTGAGGCGGGCGGATCACGAGGTCAGGATATTGAGACCATCCTGGCTAACACAGTGAAACTGCGTCTCTACTAAACATACAAAAATAATTAGCCAGGCATGGTGGTGGGCACCTGTAGTCCCAGCTACTCGGGAGGCTGAGGCAGGAGAATGGCATGAACCTGGGAGGCGGAGCTTGCAGTGAGCCAAGATCAAGCCACTGCACTCCAGCCTGGGGGACAGAGCAAGATTCCATCTCAAAAAAAAAAAAAGAAAAAGAAAAGAGCCTGTCATGGAATTGAGTTCAATGAACATTTGTTGAATGAATATTTTCATTCATAAAATCTGACTCCATACTTGATTTTAAAAACTTTTAAGAAAATATTTTTTAACAAATGTTTTAAAGTAGAGCATATATAAGCCACTTGCTCTGACCATGACCCAATAATACTGAAAATAAATCATGAAGCAGAGAGTAAAGTAATATTCAATATTTGGAGATCAAGAAGCACAAACCCATATAATGCCTTGTGTCAAAGAATAAATCAAAAGTGAGATTAAAAATTATCTAGATAACAAGGCTAGAACACCTGTAGCCAAAAATCCACATTTTACTGGACACAGTAAAAGAAATACATATAGCATTAAATTCCTTCATTTGAAGCTATAAAATTATGTTATATCAAAATATAAATTATCAAAACTATCATAAGATAAAGTAAAAAATTTAAATTAACTGGCATACAAAATAATGTATTTATTATTAAAAGGATATTTTAAAAGTTACCAGGACTAGAGGGATTGACAGCTAAATTCAGCTAGGTAAAGAAGAGTTTGTTCTGGTGTGATGTAAATTATCACAATTCATAGAATAAAAAAAAAATTCATCCATTCATCTTTTAAAACAACTGAGCATGATTCCAAATCAAAAACAACAGAGAATTGTAGAGCAATACAATTTATGAATAAGGATTAAAATTGGTAAATAACATATTAGCAATGAAATTCAACAATTGACCAAAAAATAATAATTCCAAGTAATCAACTAAGGCATAGTCCAGGAATGCAACATATCACTAAATAAAGGGAAAAAACCATATGATTATACCAATATTTGCAGGCATTTGATAAAACAGGGCAGCCATCACTGACATGAAAGCTACATAAAAATAGAATGCAAGCCAATGCCTTAAGTAGAATAAAGATGATTTACCAATGACTGAAAAATATCATCCTAAATCATGAAACACTGAAAGCATTTTAATTGAAGTTGGGAACTGGACAGATACTTGTTATCATCTTTAGTGTTTAATAGTAATGTTGGGGTTTGAGAGAATATAACAGAGCAAGAAAATAAAATAATAGGTATAAATATTAGAAAATAAGAAATAATATGTTTTGGTTATAGGATTATGCCTTGAAAATCCAAGAGACTCTACTAAACTACTCATTAAAATTAATGAGAGAATTTAGCAAAGAACTAGATACCATATAAATACATAGAAGTCAAGATCTTTCTGAACAAATGGAAAGAACTATTATATTATTGAATGAGAAGACTTAAAAATAAACAAAAGACTGCCAAAATAAATATACAAATTCAATGCAATTAAAACTGACATGAGACACTTTTAAGAAATAGACCCATTCATCTTAAAACTTAGACCTAAGGGGAAATACCCCAGAATTAACTAAGAAAAATATGAAGAAGAACAATGAAGGATGACTTGTCTTATTATATGTTGGAACTTACTTCACTTCTACCATCATCAAAATCATATCATAATGACACTAGAATATATACTGGGATATCAGTGTAATAAATAGACTCCAGAGCCAGGTCCCTATAAGTCCTCTAAATACAAATATTAAACACACATACACACACACACACATGATATTATATATAAAATATGATGGGTATAAATATAGATCTACAGATATATGATATATAGAGATATACTAGAAATTTTATTTCAATTCAGCTAGGAAGGATGGATGGTTTAAATGGTACAGACCAAATTAACTATCCATCTGAAACAAAATATAGGTGGAATTTTAGATAAAGACTAAAATATAAAAAATAAAACTCATAAATCTTGGGGTCTTCCTATATAATCTAGAAGGTATGGAAGACTTTCCTAGCCAAGGGAAGCCATGACAGACTACCTGGAAAAACGGGACACTCCCGCTCAATACTGTGCTGTTCCCAAGGTCTTAGCAACTGGCAGACAAGGTGATTCTCTCCTGTGCCTGGCTCAGTGGCTCCCACACCCACAGAGCCTTGCTCACTGCTAGCACAGCAGTCTGAAATCAATCTGCAAGATGGCAGCCTGGCTGGGGGAGGGGCATCTGCCATTGCTGAGGCTTCAGTAGGTAAACAAAGCAGCCAGGAAGCTCGAACTGGGCAGAGCCCACCACAGCTCAACAAGGACTGCTGCATCTAGACTCCACCTCTGTAGGCAGGGCATAGCTGAACAAAAGGCAGCAGACAACTTCTGCAGACTTAAACATCCCTGTCTGACAGCTCTGAAGAGAGCAGTGGTTCTCCTGGCATGACATTGGAGCTCTGAGAACGGACAGACTGCCTCCTCAAGTGGGTCCCTGACCCCCATGTAGCCTAACTGGGAGACACCTCCCAGTAGGGGCCGACAGACACCTCATATGGGAGGCTGCCCCTCTGGGATGAAGCTTCCAGAGGAAGGATCAGGCAGTAATATTTGCTGTACTGCAATATTTGCTGTTCTGCAGCCTCTGCTGGTGATACCCAGGCAAACAGTGTCTGGAGTGGACCTCCAGCAAACTCCAACAGACCTGCAGCTGAGGGAACTGACTGTTAGAAGGAAAACTAACAAACAGAAAGGAATAGCATCAACGTCAACAAAAAGGTCATCTACACCAAAACCCCATCTGTAGGTCACCAACATCAAAGACCAAAGGTAGATAGAACCACAAAGATGGGGAGAAACCAGAGCAGAAAAGCTGAAAATTCCAAAATTCAGAGCGCCTCTTTGCCTCCAAAGGATCACAGCTCCTCGCCAGCAACAGAACAAAGCTGGATGGACAATGACTTTGATGAGTTGACAGAAGTAGGCTTCAGAAAGTCAGTAATAACAAACTTCTCCAAGCTAAAGGAGGATGTTCGAACCCATCTCAAGGAAGTTAAAACCTTTAAAAAAGATTAGATGAATGGCTAACTAGAATAAACAGTGTAGAGAAGACCTTAAATGACCTGACGGAGCTGAAAACCATGGCACGAGAACTTCGCGATGAATGCACAAGCTTCAGTAGCTGATTCGATCAAGTGGAAAAAAGGGTATCAATGATTGAAGATCAAATTAATGAAATAAAGCAAGAAAACAAGGTTACAGAAAAGAGTAAAAAGAAATGAACAAAGCTTCCAAGAAATATGGGACTATGTGAAAAGACCAAATCTACGTTTGATTGGTGTACCTGAAAGTGATGGGGAGAATGGAACCAAGTTGGAAAACACTCTTCAGGATATTATCCAGGAGAACTTACCCAACATAGCAAGGCAGGCGAACATTCAAATTCAGGAAATACAGAGAACACCACTAAGATATTCCTTGAGAAGAGCAACCCCAAGACATATAATCATCAGATTCACCAAGGTTGAAATGAAGGAAAAAGTGTGAAGGGCAGCCAGAGAGGAAGGTCGAGTTACCCACAAAGGGAAGCCCATCAGACTAACAGTGGACATCTCAGCAGAAACCCTACAAGCCAGAAGAGAGTGGGGGCCAATATTCAACATTCTTAAAAAGAATTTTCAACCCAGAATTTCATATCCAGCCAAACTAAGCTTCATAAGTGAAGGAGAAATAAAATCCCTTACAGACAAGCAAATGCTCAGAGATTTTGTCACCAGAAGGCCTGCCTTACAAGAGCTCCTGAAGGAAGCACTAAACGCAGAAAGAAACAACCAGTACCAGCCACTGAAAAAAAAGGCCAAATTGTAAAGACCATCGATGCTATGAAGAAACTGCAACAATTAACAGGCAAAATAACCAGTGAACATCATAATGAAAGGATCAAATTCACACATAACAATATTAACCTTAAATGTAAATGAGCTCAATGCCCCAATTAAAAGACATAGACTAGCAAATAGGATAAAGAGTCAAGACCCATCAGTGTGCTGTATTCAGGAGACCCAGGTCACGTGCAAAGACGCACATAGGCTCAAAATAAAGGGATGGAGGAAGATCTACCAAGCAAATGGAAAGCAAAAAAAAAAAAGCAGGGGTTGCGATCCCAGTCTCTGATAAAACAGACTTTAAACCAACAAAGATCAAAAGAGACAAAGAAGGCTACTACATAATGGTAAAGGGATCAATTCAACAAGAAGAGCTAACTGTCCTAAATATATATGCACCCAAAACAGGAGCACCCAGATTCATAAAGCAAGTCCTTAGAGACCTACAAAGAGACTTAGACTCCCACACAATAATAAAAGGAGACTTTCACACCCCACTGTCAATATTAAACAGATCAACGAGACAGAAGGTTAACAAGGATATCCAGGACCTGAACACAACTCTGGACCAAGCAGGCCTAACAGACATCTAGAGAACTCTCCACCCCAAATCAACAGAATATACATTCTTCTCAGCACTGCATCACCCTTATTCTAAAATTGACCACATAATTGGAAGTAAAGCACTCCTCAGCAAATGTAAAAGAATGGAAATCACAACAAACTGTCTCTCAGACCACCAGGCAATCAAATTAGAACTCAGGATTAAGAAACTCACTCAAAACCACACAACTACATGGAAACTGAACAACTTGCTCCTGAATGACTACTGGGTAAATAAGGAAATGAAGGCAGAAATAAAGATGTTCTTTGAAACCAATGAGAACAAAGATACAATGTACCAGAATCTCTGGGACACATTTAAAGCAGTGTGTAGAGGGAAATTTATAGCACTAAATGCCCACAAGTGAAAGCAGGAAAGATCTAAAATCAACACCGTAATATCACAATTAAAAGAACTAGAGAAGCAAGAGCAAACACATTCAAAAGCTACCAGAAGGCAAGAAATAACTAAGATCAGAGCAGAACTGAAAGAGATAGAGACATGAAAAACCCTTCAAAAAAATCAATGAATCCAGGAGCTGGTTTTTTGAAAAGATCAACAAAATTGATAGACCACTAGCAAGACTAATGAAGAGAAGAGAGAAGAATCAAATACACGCAATAAAAAATGATAAAGGGATATCACCTCTGATCCCACAGAAATATAAACTACCATCAGAGAATACTATAAACACCTCTATGCAAATAAACTAGAAAATCTAGAAGAAATGGATAAATTCCTGGACACATACACCCTCCCAAGACTAAACCAGAAAGAAGTTGAATCTCTGAATAGACCAATAACAGGCTCTGAAATTGAGGCAACAATTAAGAGCCTACCAACCAAAAAAAGCCCAGGACCAGATGGATTCACAGCTGAATTCTACCAGAGGTACAAAGAGGAGCTGGTACCATTCCTTCTGAAACTATTCCAATCAATAGAAAAAGAGGGACTCCTACCTAACTCATTTTATGAGGTAAACATCATCCTGATACCAAAACCTGGCAGAGACACAACCAAAAAAGAGAATTTTAGACCAGTATCCCTGATGAACATCGATGCAAAAATCCTCAATAAAATACTGACAAACCGAATCCAGCAGCACATCAAAAAGCTTCTCCACCACGGTCAAGTTGACTTCATCCCTGGGATGCAAGGCTGGTTCAACATACACAAATCAATAAATGTAATCCATCACATAAACAGAACCAACAACAAAAACCACATGATTATCTCAATAGAGGCAGAAAAGGCCTTTGAAAATTTCAACAGCCCTTCATGCTAAAAACTCTCAATAAACTGGGTATTGATGGAACGCATCTCAAAATAATAAGAGCTATCTATGACACACCCACAGTCAACAAATGGGGAAAAACTGGAAGCATTCCCTTTGAAAACCGGCCCAAGACAGGGATGTCCTCTCTCACCACTCCTATTCAACATAGTGTTGGAAGTTCTGGCCAGAGCAATCAGGCAAGAGAAATAAATAAATGGTATTCAATTAGGAAATGAGGAAGTCAAATTGTCCCTGTTTGCAGATGACATGACTTCATATTTAGAAACCCCATCGTCTCAGCCCAAAATCTCCTTGAGCTGATAAACAACTTCAGCAAAGTCTCAGGATACAAAATCAATGTCCAAAAATCACAAGCATTCCTATACACCATTAACAGACAAACAGAGAGCCAAATCATGAGTGAACTCCCATTCACAATTGCTACAAAGAGAATAAAATGCCTAGGAATCCAACTAACAAGGGATGTGAAGGACCTCTTCAAGGAGAACTACAAACCACTGCTCAAGGAAATAAAAGAGGACACAAATAAATGGAAGAATATTCCATGCTCATGGATAGGAAGAGTCAATATCGTGAAAATGGCCATACTGCCCAAAGTAATTTATAGATTCAATGCCATCCCCATCAAGTTACCAATGACTTTCTTCACAGAATTGGAAAAAAACTACTTTAAAGTTCATATGGAAGCAAAAAAGAGCCCACATTGCCAAGACAATCCTAAGCAAAAAGAACAAAGCTGGAGGCATCAGGCTACCTGACTTCGAACTATACTACAAGGCTACAGTAACCAAAACAGCACAGTACTGATACCAAAACAGAGATATAGACCAATGGAACAGAACAGAGGCCTCAGAAATAACACCATTCATCTACAACCATCTGATCTTTGACAAACCTGACAAAAACAAGAAATGGGGAAAGGATTCCCTATTTAATAAATGGTGCTGGGAAAACTGGCTAGCCATATGTAGAAAGCTGAAACTGGATCTCTTCCTTACACCTTATACTAAAATTAATTCAAGATGGATTAAAGACTTAAATGTTAGACCTAAAACCATAAAAACCCTGGAAGAAAACCTAGGCAATACCATTTAGGGCACAGGCATGGGCAAGGACTTCATGTCTAAAACACCAAAAGCAATGGCAACAAAAGCCAAAATTGACAAATGGGATCTAATTAAACTAAAGAGCTTCTGCACAGCAAAAGAAACTACCATCAGAGTGAACAGGCAACCCACAGAATGGGAGAAAATTTTTTGCAATCTACCCATCTGACAAAGGGCTAATATCCAGAATCTACAAAGAACTCAAACAAATTTACAAGAAAAAAACAACCAACCCCATCAAAAAGCGGGCAAAGGATGCGAAGAGACACTTCTCAAAAGAAGACATCTATGCAGCCAACAGACACATGAAAAAATGCTCATCATCACTGGTCATCAGAGAAATGAAAATCAAAGCCACAATGAGATACCATCTCACGCCAGTTAGAATGGCGATCATTAAAAACTCAGGAAACAACAGGTGCTGGAGAGGATGTGGAGAAATAGTAACACTTTTACACAGTTGGAGGGAGTGTAAATTAGTTCAACAGTTGTGGAAGACAGTGTGGCAATTCCTCAAGGATCTAGAAGTAGAATTACCATTTGACCCAGCAATCCCATTACTGGGTATATACCCAAAGGATTATAAATCATGCTACTATAAAGACATATGCACATGTATGTTTATTGCGGCACTATTCACAATAGCAAAGACTTGGAACCAACCCAAATGTCCATCAGTGATAGACTGGATTAAGAAAATGTGGCGCATATACATCATGGAATACTATGCAGCCATAAAAAAGGATGAGCTCATGTCCTTTGCAGGGACATGGATGAAGCTGGAAACCATCATTCTCAGCAAACTATTACAAGGACAGAAAACCAAACACTGCATGTTCTCACTCATAAGTGGGAACTGAACAATGAGATCACTTGGACACAGAGAGGGGAACATCACACACCGGAGCCTGTGTGTGGGGGTTGGGGGGCAAGGGGAGGGATAGCAATAGGAGAAATACCTAATGTAAATGATAAGTTGATGGATGCAGCAAACCAACCTGGCACATGTATACCTATGTATCAAACCTGCATGTTGTGCACATGTACCCTAGAACTTAAAGTATAAAAAATTTTTAAAAAGACCCCGAACTGTAAAATTCCTAGAAGAAAACATAGGGAGAAAGCTACTGACATTGGTCTTACGTGATGACACCGAAAGCACAGACACCAAAAAGAAAAAATAGACATATGAAACTGTCATTTGTACAGCAGAGGAAACAATAAACAGAATGAAAAGGCAACTTATGGAATGGAAGAAAAGATTTACAAACCATATATCTGATAATAGGTTAATATCTAAAATAACAAAGCGACAACCACAACTGAATAGCAAAAAACAAATAACCAATTTAAAAATGGGCAAATGATGAATAGACATTTCTCCAAATAAGACATACAAATAACCAAGAAATACACAAAAATATGTCAACATCACTAAGACTAGAAAAATGCAAATCAAAACTACATGTGATATCATCTTACCCCAATTAGGATAGCTACCATTAAAAAATAAAATAAAAATAAAAAGGTAAGAAAATAAGAGTTTGGTGAAGATGTGGAGAAATTAGAACTCTTCTACACTGTTGGTGGGAATGTAAAATTGTACAGCTGCTGTGGAGAAAGTATAGAGATTCCTCAAAAAAATGAAAATAGAACTAACACCTTATCCGGCAACCCTGCTTCTGGGAATGTGCCCAAAATAATTGAAATCAGGATCTCAAAAAGATATCTGCACCCCCATGTTCCTGGCAGCAGTATTTACAATAGACAAGTTGTAAAAATAACCCAAATATCCATCAACTGATAAAGACAATGTGATATGTACATCAAATGGAATATTATTCAGTATTAAAAAAGAAGGTGTCATGCTGGACCCCTATTGACTCATGTCTGAGAGGCCGAAGAAGAGACCCAGAGACAGTGAATGAGACATGGGGTTTATTGTAGGGGCTTACATACAAAGATAGTCCAGTGGTGGTGAGCTAGACAGGAGAAATGCTACTGTTTGTAAAAAACAGGCTGTTTTATATAGCATTTTTTACTTAGCGCCCTCCACCTAGCAACCTTCATTTAATTCAAAACAAAAGCCTCAATTCCCAGTATGTCCTTATTCCAAAGGGTTGGCCAGGATGTCCTTCATATATCGGAGTGAATCTCTGGGTGGCCACTCCCACATTCCTTAATTCAGAAATCCCAATACCATTCTTTTTAGACCATAGGGTCATCCTCAGGGTTTGCTTAAGTTACGCTATTGCTGTCAGATGCATCTTCCATATGGAAGGAAATCTTGCCATTTGCAACGACATGGATGAACCTGAAAGATTTTAGGCTAAACAAAATAAGCCAGTCACAAAAGGACAAATACTGTATAATTTCACGTGTATGAGGTAGGTGAAATAGTCAAGGTCTTAGAATCAGAGAATAGAATGGTGGTTACCAGTGCCCAGGGTAAGGGGGAAATGGGGAGTTGCTCTCTTGGTAGAAAGTTTTAGTTATCCAAGATAAATTAGCTCTAGAGGTACAGCATAGTGCTGTCAACAATACTGTATTATACACCTAAACATTTGCCAAGAGGGTAGATTTCATGTTAAGTTTTCCTAGCATGTGCACACACACACACACACACAATAGAGATACAATAAAACTTTTGGAGGTGATGCAATGAGATACCATCTCACACCATTTAGAATGGCGATCATTAAAAAGTCAGGAAACAACAGGTGCTGGAGAGGATGTGGAGAAATAGGAACACTTTTACACGTTGCTGGGACTGTAAACTAGTTCAACCATTGTGGAAGTCAGTGTGGCGATTCCTCAGGGATCTAGAACTAGAAATACCATTTGACCCAGCCATCCCATTACTGAGTATATACCCAAAGGATTATAAATCATGCTGCTATAAAGACACATGCATATGTATGTTTATTGCGGCACTATTCACAATAGCAAAGACTTGGAACCAACCCAAATGTCCAACAATGATAGACTGGATTAAGAAAATGTGGTACATATACACCATGGAATACTATGCAGCCATAAAAAATGATGAGTTCATGTCCTTTGTAGGGACATGGATGAAGCTGGAAACCATCATTCTCAGCAAACTATTGCAAGGACAAAAAACCAAACACCGCATGTTCTCACTTATAGGTGGGAATTGAACAATGAGAACACATGGACACAGGAAGGGGAACATCACACACCGGGGCCTGTTGTGGGGTGGGGGGTGGGGGGAGGGATAGCATTAGGAGATATACCTAATGTTAAATGACGAGTTAATGGGTGCAGCACACCAACATGGCACATATATACATATGTAACTAACCTGCACGTTGTGCACATGTACCCTAAAACTTACAGTATAATAAAAAAAAAACTTTTGGAGGTGATGGATATATCTATTAATTACTTTGATTGTGGTGATGGTTTCATGGGTGTATGCATATATGTCCAAACTCAGATTTTAAACATTAAATATGTGCAGTTTATTGCATATCAATTATAAGTCAATAAAGCTATTTTTAAAAATGAAGGTGAAATAAAGGCATTTGGAGATAAAAGAAAATGAAAAGACTCCATTATCAAAAGATTTTCACTTTAAAAGCTCACAGTTCTTAAGGCTAAAGAAAAATCACACCAGATGAAAACTTAGAGCCTCAAAAAAACAAGAAGAAGCATTAGAAGTGGTAAATGCCTATGTATATGCAAAAAATTTTATTTTCATTTTGCTTTCCTCCTGATTTAAATAAACCATACAAGTGTTTAAAGCAAAAATAATAACATTGTTTTACAAGGTTTATCACATATATATATCTAACTAATAAAATATTTGCTTAAAAACATAAAACATGAAAGATGAGGGATATGGAGTTGCAAGATTTCTACATTTTACACAAAGAGTTATGAGGTTAACTGTAGGTAGACTGTGAACACCAAAGGAGTTTCAGTATGATTCCCAAAGCAGCCACTGAAATAATAATACAAATAAGTATTGTTTAAAAATTAATAAGAAAATCCAAATGGAGCAAAATTCTACAAAATATTCAAGTAATCCCCTCAAAAAGACCAGAAATAAGAGTTACAAAAAAATAGAGCAGACTAGTTAAAACAGATAATGAAATGGTAGGTCTAACCTCAACCACATCAGTAATTACACTAGACATTAATTGTCTAAACACTCCAACGTAAAAGGAAAGAGTATCAGAAAGTTTTCTTTCAAAACCCATGTGTATATATGTATATATACACATACATATACTGCCTACAGAAGATGCCCTTTAAATATAAAGACACATAGAGGTCGAAAGTAAATGCTTGAAAAAAAAATCTATCAGGTAAACAGTAATACAAGAAGGATGGAATGGCTAGCTTTTGGATGCCTGTCTGTAAGAGCAGTGTTCCAACAAGATGGTATCCTGTCTTCAGGAGGTGGTTGCATGAGGTCGATCGGGACAGCTCTTGTACATGGTGATCTGCCCTGTACCACCAGCCTCAAATTCATCAGATAGTCCCTAAACTCCAAATGTGATAGTTCACACTTGAATTCATGCCTGAAATGTCTTTGAAATTCAAAAGCATTTTCTTTATTCTGGTAATCTTTGGAATCATTTACATATCAAATATCAATTCAATTCTAAAATATTCAGTAAGCATCAACTGTGCCCAAGGTTTAGTGCTACAAAGGAGCACTAAAGGAAAAACAAATTTTTTCTATACTCACTCAAAAAACACACCACCAAATGTTTAAGAGTTTCCACCACACCAACAAATTCTCCAATTCTTAGGGAACACCTAATGGGCATCCTATCACTTAATTCTGACACTAAATTCCCAGAGTTAGCACTGACCCCACAAGTGAAGGGTTCAATCCCATAAGACTACCTCTCACTTTAGATGCCAATCACAAGTAGTGGGTCCCGAGGTTACCCACAACTTCTGTCCAATTTGGTCACAAATCAGAGGTTCCCATGATCCCCTCCTCAGGTACCAAAATGTGCTAGAATAGCTCACTTACTATTACCAATTTATTATAGAGGATATTTTAAAGGATGTAAATGAATAGCCAGATGAAGAGGGACATAAGGTAAGGTCTGGAAGGGTCTTGGGCACAGGAGCTTCTGTCGCTATGGAGTCTGGGGTGCACCACCCTCCCAGCACATAGATGCACACTTTTTCACTGAGCCAAAAGTTCTCCAAACCTCATTTGGGGTTTTTATGAAGGCTTCATTACATAGGCATGGTTGACTAGATTGTTGGTCACCAGTGACTAAGGAGGTCAGAGGGTGGGGTTAAAAGTTCTAGGCTTCCAATCACACGGTTGGTTCCTTCGGCTACCGGCCCCCATCCTCCCGAGAGTACTTCATTAGCACTAGCTCAGGTATGGTTGGAAGGGGCTTATTATGAATAATAAAAGATGCTCCTATATTCCTTATCATTAATTTCTTAATTCCAAGGGTTTTAGGATCTCTGTGCCAGAAACTAGGAATAAAGATCAAATATATATTTATTATATCATAATATTACAGGTACTAAGTCTATAAGGCTAGAAAGATGACTAAGGAAATCATTTCATAACCTTTGTGAAACAAGAAATAAACAAGAATGAAGTTCCCCTTTGCTTGGTATCTAGTAAGAATAAGCTAAGTACATACCAATTATAAAAATTTTATATTATATATGAAGCACCATAACACTCAGTACCCAAGATTTTCAACTGTGGGTGCAGAAGGATATGTCTTTTTTAACCCAAACATATTCCACTGGAGAGTCGGATATGCCCACCACATCCTCATCTCCCACCAAGAGATGGAGAGAATAACTACCATAGTGGTTTACTACCTTTAAAAGAAGAGTTTCATATCCCTCATGTTTGACAGAGCTAAAAAAAAAATGGTGAAAATGTCAGCCATATATAATAATTTTCCAATTAAATACACATGTATTAATAGTATACTGAAGTTTCATATGAAATACAATGTAGTAATACAGAAAAAATTATGATGCAGTAAAAATGGGCATTTACCCTTTTGAATTTTTTACTCCTTTAACTCAAATTCCATGGTTACATTTTCAACAGAGCACTAATACCAACCACTGACCCATTAACGTTTGTATAAAAGTCTTAGGAATATCCAAACTATGTGTATAGATCCACAGGCAAAATGACTTAAATAGACCTTGGCGGGGGTTACCTTCATAGAGCAAAATGTATAACCTAGGTCACAGTTAATTGAGTGACCCTGGAGACCTTTGGGACAGCAACATCCTGGCTCACTGGCTGTACCTTGAATTGCCACATGTTGTAGAAGTCAATTTCCAGGAGAGATAAGTTGTTTCTATAAGTTGTGGTATTTACATACAAGCACACATTATTCACTGGAGTTTATATATATATATATATTATACATATAATATATATTTTATTATACATATATTATACATATAATATATATTTTATTATACATACATTATACATATAATATGTTTTATTATACATATATTATACATATAATATATATTTTATTATATATATTATACATATAATATATATTTTATTATATATATTATACATATAATATATATTTTATTATATATATTATACATATAATATATATTTTATTATATATATTATACATATATATTTTATTATATATATAATACATATATATTTTATTATATATATTATACATATAATATATATTTTATTATATATTATACACATAATATATATTTTATTATATATTATATACATATATTAAATATATATTTTTTATTATATATATTACATATATTAAATATATATATTTTATATATATATATAGTTTTGTTTTTGGTTTTTTTTTCCTGAGATGGGGTCTCACTCTGTCACCCAGGCTGGAATGCAGTGGTGTGATCTCAGCTCACTGCAGCATTTGCCTCCTGGGTTCAAGCGATTCCCTGCCTTAGCCTCCTGAGTAGCTGGGATTACAGGTGCCCACCACCACACCTGGCTAATTTTTGTATTTTTTGAGATGGAGTCTCACTCTGTCGCCAAGGCTGGAATGCAGTGGTGCAATCTCGGTTCACTGCAACTTCCACCTCCCAGGATCAAGTGATTCTCCTGCCTCAGCCTCCTGACTAGCTAGGATTACAGGCACCCACAACCATGCCTGGCTAATTTTTTGTATTTTTAGTAGAGATGGGGTTTCACTATGTTGGCCAGGCTGGTCTTGAACTCGTGACCTCAGGTGATCCACCCATTTGGGAGCGATCAGCCTCCCAAATTGCTGGGATTACAGGCGTAAGCCACCGCGGCCAGCCAGGAGTTATATTTTTATGGGAAACATAAACAGTCATGGCTTAACTATTCCCAGAGTTACCGATAAGGCAGAGACTAATGTGAGGCAAACACCTCACTAACTTTATCCTAGTCCCAGATCCATGCCTGAAAAATGCCTGCCTACTAGATCCACAGAGGCAAAATCAAACTTCTACCATCTACCTAGTGGGCACCATCCCAATAACAAGGGTTACTGTTCTTGTTTAGCTGCACAGGCCCAGTCTCCTGTGCATACCTTAAAAAAACTAAAACAAAATAAACTAAAATGGTAGCACAGGTGCTAGGGAGAGTCTGTTTGGTCATTAATTGATCCAAATATTTTTAGTTACTTGCATTGTGCTTTCATGATAGAGAGGTCATCAGTTGACTGGGTTAATTTAGTCCAAGAATTGGCTTACCCAAAAACAGAAAGAAAGAAGAGTGATACTAGCTATTTTATTGAATTGTAGTCAGATAGGTGTCAGCCCTTTAGCTGTGGTTACAGAATGCTGAATAGGGATGGACACTACTATGAAAATGGTAACTTCAGGATTCAAATCAATATTCATGTGTATGTAGCAAGGCAACCCTTAGAAATTGGACACTGTTGAGTTGAAGTTGATTTTTAAATGTTAAATCCATAAATGCATATGACCATTTACATTTTAAAACTTTTGCCTTTAAATGCTAAAATCTGGTATCTGTAACAAGATGATGTTGAGAAACTTCCTATTAAATTGCTTTGACTATTTCAGTTTGCACAGGACAAGCTATTTTTTCTTTTCTAATTATAAACATAACATATTCTCATTGTAAATAATTTGAACAGTACAGAAGTGTCAAAAAGCAGAAAGAAATCTCCCATAATCATACCATCCAGAGGCAATGGCATTGTTCATTTAGGCATATTTTCTTCTCATCTTTTTCCTTACATTTTAAACATAGATAAAATTATGATGAGCCATTCACACATCCTGAGGCTGATGTTACCATTTTCTTTGTACTTACTTTCTTATATAAGAGGCAACCCTTCATATTTTCAGATGTTGTTAATTAAAAATCATGATAGTATATAATTAGAAAGATTCATGGAAGGCCGGACACAGTGGCTCAAGCCTGTAATCCCAGCACTTTGGGAGGCCGAGACCAGTGGATCACCTGAGGTCAGGAGTTCAAGACCAGCCTGGCCAACATAGTGAAACCCCGTCTCTACTAAAAATACAAAAAATTAGCCAGGTGTGGTGGCAGCCACCTGTAATCCCAGCTACTAGGGAGGCTGAGGCAGGAGACTCGCTTGAACCTGGGAGGCAGACGTTGCAGTAAGCCAAGATCATGCCATTGCACTCCAGCCTGGGCAACAAGAGCAAAACTTCATCTCAAAAAAAAAGAAAAGAAAAGAAAAAACAAAAAAGATTCATGGGAAAACTCTGAAATCTGAAATCTGAAATGCACGGTGTTAACAAGAGAGTATCAATAAACTCCTAGCTGTTTACCATGTCAATTCCACACTTGAGAAATCTGACATTGAACATGTATTTCTGTATCTATGCAACTATAACCAAAAACAAATATATCTCCAAAGAAGTTTCAGACAAGTATTTCATGTATGTCTTGCTCTTTCCTTGCATGGTCTATGTAAGATGATTCATTAGCAATAAGCTTTCAGGATAAAGGGCTTTTTGTTATTGTTATTGATTCGGTTGTATGTGTGACTTTTTAAAGAATTAGTTAGAAAGGACAACACATACATATTTTTTCCAGTGAAAATCTAATACCTCAACAGTACCAATTTGGGGGCCTAAATAACATCTAGAGGATGATCGTGTCTTCCTCCTTAGAGCCAGAGTGTAATTAAGCCCCAAAACAATAACCCCAGTCCAGGAAAGCAGGAAAGAAAGTTGGGAATAAGCCAGCTGTACCCCAGATGTTAAGGCTGGGAACATTCCAGAGCTCTGCATCTGCAGGCATCTACTGCCAAACCTGTCCCATCTGTAACAAAGGTGATAAACTCCTCCCTCAGAGGAGAGAACATTTGGAAAAGGTAAGGCAATATTCCTTAGTCAGTTTTTCAACATGCTGGCAACTTCTTCCTCTGTGAACTTTCTGTTTATTCACTTGTACTAAGAAAGGTGTGAAGAGAATCCAGGAATTCAAGAATTGAACTAGGGTGCTAATAAAATTCAAAAGAAAAAGCAAATTACCAGGACATATAATGGTTGGAAAGAACATTGTTCTGTTCCTTTTCTTCCTCCCCACCAACCCCAAGCAATAAATAAGATACAACAGTGCACCCTTCTGGTTGAAATACAGAACTGACACTCAGATAAGGGTCTAGTTACTAGTCTGTAGTTGTGTGGGGAGAACTTCAACAAAAGAGTTCCTAGTTTCCTCATATAGCAAGACAGTTCATAGCAATTACTTCACTTGCAGCCTTTTTTAAAGTAAAGAATGCCAGAGATTTTCAAATACATAAACCTGTTTCCATAAGGGATCTTTTTGGCTCTGAATGAGGCAAACACGGTACCAAAGAAAACTGCAGAAATCTACGATGCTGTATTGATTTAATATAGGTATCTGGATCCCCATTCCACTGACTTTCTTGGAGCTTTCCCTTGAGGACTTGAAGGTGATAAATACTCATTAAGTATTTTTTAATATACTAATCAGGCAAGATTACCAATTTCTGAAAATGGTCCTCAGTAAAATCTGATAACCTACTGTATTTTGTCACAAGTACAATAGCTCTGGAACTTTCAATAAAGGGACTCCAAGTATTGTACGATGAAAAAGCAAGTAAGAAAATGCCTAGCCCTTCTTGTTACAAATCCAACCAAATGTATTAACAACAGCATGGAGTTTATGAGCAACAGAATCTGGTCTACATAGGTCTGGTTGTTATCCTTATTATCCTGCAAGGGAAGGACACCATTAATTACTACTAGAAAACTCTGAATACTTGCCCTGATGAAACCGTGCAAGGAAATTCACAAACAGCTTTGTGGGAAAAAGGCTGCTTCCAGCCCACCTGCCCACTTCTGCAATCTGTAGGTGATGGAGGGCACAAAGGGAGATCATGGAGCATCTCCGAAGAACAAAGGAGAGCGTTTCAGAAAGTCACAGTCCTATTTTTGGAAGTAGCTATAGGTATGCTGCCACCTACTTTCAAAAAGTTAAAGGGCAATGAGGACACTACTTCCTGAAGAGTCATTAATAATGTGAAAGGTCCACTTCCTCCCTAACCCAAATGAAAATAATACAGACAGCATAGTAAGCCTTCCTTCTCTTTAGGCCTGCCCAGAATAAACCTTAGTATGTTCACGGCATGTATTCCTTCACATATTATACTTTTTTGGTGATATAAATGAAAATATCAAAAGTCTAAAGACAAGATTGTAAAAAGACAGAAATACTTACAAAACATGAAGTATCACAAAAAATAATCATGTTTCACACCCCTATAGGAGTGTCTATGGCCATCCTACTACCCTTAGCCACCTTACACAACTCTCTCTGAGAACTGTTTTCTGCCTTGACCACAATCCCTTAGAATTAAGGAAGGTAAGAATCAACGTTCCAGTAAATGGAAACCCTTTCTTTGACACTAAATTGACATTATGCTATACTTTGAAATGCACGTTTGCCACAAGCAGCACCCCAAAGTATAGTGCATTATACGATCTGTTCAGGTCAACAATTCATGTGACAAACAACACCCTAACAGCAAAACTGTATGACTCAATGTTAGCAAAATTAAATTTTAAACATTGACCAAAGTTTGAGGACATTCCTGTAAGAAGTCCAGGCGCACCAGTTTAGAACCACCATATTGATCATATATAAAGAGAAAGGCTTATTAAACATTCTAGAGCTAAAAATAGTCTCAAAGAATTGACTGCTGATTTACAAAAAGAGATATTAGGCTGGAACTCTTTGCAAATATCACTCAGCCACAGGAAATCAATGAAAGCAGGAAAGAAGGTCTCTCCTAAAATCTACACCAAAAGAAAAAAACAGTTTCTTAAGACACTTTTGGGATTCAATTTTCCACAATAAATCATCTCACCTATAAAGATTACTGCCAGCAAGTCCAAGCCAAGCAGATATCAGACACTATAATGCTAGCATAAAAATGTATCACGGTGCAATGGTAGGAAGCAAAGTTCATCTGACAAAAGATCCAGACTTCATAAGGATATCAGCAGGATGTAATCAGAGAAGAAGGAGGAAGAGAGACTTCCTGAAGACATGAAAGCCTCTGCTCCCTGGCTTATAAGGGCAGTAGAAAAAAAAAACACATTTAAAGCTGAAAAATGCAGCCAAAGAGAGCAATCAAGAGTTAATGCTTATTGAAACAGCGATGAAACTTAGAACCATGAAAAAAGCAAAGAAGGTTTCAAGAGCAGATAACCTGCATCTCCAAATCTTCAGAATGCAGGCAGTGAAAGTATTCATATATTATAAAACACCCTGCCTATCTCAGAAACACCTGCATCCAAGGGCAACAAACCTGAAGTGGTGTCCATAGCAAGTGAAAGCTGAAAAAGAGCATCAAAAAATAGCAAGCCGGCTTTGTGGAGTTAGAGTGTTGTGATCGGGAAATAATATAAAATGGGCGACTGGAAGTGGGTCTATGGGGAATAGCCATGGACAGGTGGGGGAGATTTATTTCAAAGAGGTCATGCTCAGGAAATATTTTGTAAAATTAACTTAGAGGTCTGTCAGAAGTTAAACAGACAATACAATAAGCTAGGACTTTTAAGACAGTGATAATAGATGCTTAAGACTTTTAATTGATAAGACTTATTAAGACTTAATAGACTTTTAATACTCTATTAATAGAATGTTGCATGAAAGGTAAGTTGAGAGGGGTGTGCAAGTATAGAAACAATGGGAAAATATCTGACAAGATGCAAAAGTCTGACAATAAACTGAGGTCAATCTGTATGCCTACTGGGTGCTTAAGCACTGTGGTAGATGTCAATAGCATAAAGGAGTAAGACACTTTCTCTGCCCTCCAGCAACCTAGGAAGTAAGAAAAGTACAGTGATGTAATCCTTACAAAAATCCTGTGAAGTAGATATCATCTGAATTCTACACATAAGAAAACTGAGGCTCAGAGAGGTTAAGTATCTTGCCCAAAATGCACAGCTAGGAAATTGCTTACCCAGAATCCAAAATACATGATCTTTTCACTGTATCACACTTTCTGATAGATTTCAGAATACTAGGTGGCATTTTTTAAAGTAGCAACAATACAAAACGCAAGTAATACATTAAACACTAAGAAAAACTGGTACCTCATACCTGTAATCCTAACACTTCGGGAGGCCAAGATGGGAAGATTTGTTGAGCCTAGCAGCTCGAGAACAGCTTAGGCAAGATTAGGGAGACTCTATCTCTTCAAAATATGTGAAAATTTCGCTGATGTAATGGCAAGCGCCTACAGTCCCAGCTACTCAGGAGGCTGAGGTGGGAGGATCACTTAAGCGTGGGAGGTCAAGGCTGCAGTAAGCCGTGATCACACCACTGTACTCCATCCTGGATGGCAGAGCAAGACCCTGTCTCGAAAAGAAAAGGAAAAAGAAAAGGGGAGAGGACGGGAGGCAAGGGGAAAAGCTAGTATTATGTAGCACAGATGAAATGTATGAATATAATGGAGTGCTAATTGTGTCTCCTGGACATCAATGCTGGAGCTAATCAGAGAAGATGAAGAACAGAGAGGGCAGAGGTAATCAAGAAAAGCACTGGAAGAGGGGATAGTTTCCTGGGAAAGGAACATCTCCTGCAGTTAGAAAACTGAGCACAGCCTCAGGAAGTCAGGGGTCAGGAAGAGGAGTAGCCTGATCACCCAGCAAGGAGGGGCCACTATTGAGAACAACATGGGAAGGGTACACATAATCTGAAGAGCTGGGCAGGAAAATTGAGATTGAAAGCAGTGGGAAAGAGGATGCTAAAGATTTCTGAGCAGGTGCAACTCGTACTGCCTTCATGTAGTCTAAATCTCTCCCTATATTAGTTTTATGAAGTTGCTGTAACAAATTACCATAAGTTTAGTGGATTAAAACAACACAAATTTACCTCTTCCAGGTCTGTAGTCCAGCATGGGTCTCACTGGACTAAAATCGGGGTGTCAGCAGGACTGCATTCCTTTCTGGAGACTCTAGGGAAAATTTCTTGCCTTTTTCAGCTTCTAGAGACCACTCACCTACCTTTGGCTTCTGGCCACCTTCCTTCATCTTCAAAGGCAGCAACACTGCACCTTTCTTACTGTTCTCCTGTAGTCACGTGTCTCTTGGGCTACAGCTGTCAAAGTTCCATGCTTTCAAGCATTTGTGTGATTAGATTGGGGCCATCTGGTTAATCCAAACTCATCTTTCCTGTGATTAAGGTGCTTAATGTTAATCAAATCTGCAAAGACCCTTTTGCCATGTAAGGTAACATATTCATAGGTTCCAGGGATAAGGACATGAATATTTGGGGCAGCCATTATTTTGCCAACCACACTCTTGAATATCACCTGGCCACTCATGTATCTCCAGTCTCCATATCTGTAAGGCATCGTTCTCCCTACTTCCTGGATGACCATCCTCTGCTCAAAAACCCCAATCGTTTCCCACTCACTGAACACCAAGCTGCTTAGCTTGGCATTCCTGTCGAATAACTGGAAACACTCATTTACCAACCAAATAAAATAATAAAAGTAGTGTCTAAGGGAGACCTGTGAAAGGTGAAGACGAGGCAGAGGTGAAGGAGCGATGGGTGGGAGGCAGTGATCCAGAGTTGAGTTGAGAGGGGCAGACAGCCACCCTGTGGCTTTAGAGCCAAGCTCCATCACTGGGAGCTGTGACATCGGAAAGTGACATAATCTCTTTGAGCTCCAGTTACTTTGCCTATTGAAAAGGGGACAATAGTAGGACCTGCTTCACTGGATTGTTGTGTCAGTTAATAATACACAGCAAGCATTTATCACAAAGTAAGCATTCAATAAATGTTAGTTCTCTTTTCTCAGTACAAGAAAAAAATAAAGCAGTAGAATTATAGTAAAAGATTCAGGAGAACCATCTAAGGAATGCAGAGGTATTAAACTTCAGACTTAGTTTAGGATAATTGGTCTTTCCACATGGGTAGAAGATGCCATGTTGCTTCTTTTTATGTGTGACCATATTTCTATAAAGAACTAATGAAAAAATATCATTAGCAATGAATGTTTAATTGAAGAATTAAAATTTAGAGAAACAGAGCCTAAATGGATGTGATAAGTATGGAATGAAAGTTCTTAAACATGTGTGTATGTATGTTGTATAATATCATCATTAAAAACTGAATGATATTCATAACCATTGAGCATTAGAAAATTTGTGAATTATTTATTTATTCATTCAAAAATACTCATTGAACTCAGTGAGATGTAGCTTAAACACTTTAAGATACACCATGTCCTCTTGGAACTTACATTCAAGAGAAGGATGAAAGATAATAAATACGTATAAGTGAACTACTCTTCTCTCCAAGAATTTTTTCACAGGCCCTTAATAAATGAAGCATATATGCCGTTCTAAATTATATTCTAACTTCATACATTTTTTCATATTAAAGCAGGAAGAAAGCTTAAATATTATATCAAGATAAAATCTATAAATAAGGTAGGAAGTCTTAATAATCCATTACTGTTAAGAGTATTTGCACACATTAAAGTATACTTCTTATTTTTATACCCCCACATCATTCTTAACATGTTTAGAGATAGCTAAAAGAAATCCATTAATGCAACAACATAGAACCAAAGAAAGAGAAAAAGAAAAGAGAAAGAGAGAGAAAGGAAACAGAAGGAAAGGAAGGACAGGAGGGGAAGGAAGGAAGGAAGGAAGGAAGGAAGAGGCTAAATAAAAACAACAAGAAGGAAATAAGAAGGTTCCTGGAACACATTTCTTTTTGTAAAAGGTGCTGAAGATTTGGTTCTGAGCTACTTAGCAGTGAACATGAAGATGAAACATAACTGTTAGCAATAAGCATGAGGTTCTAAAAATAAAAATAAGCACGTACCTGAAGAGAAGTACATCTTTATTTGCTTTTGAGCCCTAAGGGGAATCTCTTCCATAGATTCTCTTAATCGCTGTAACATAATATCTTCAATAACATACAGTAGTGAGCTGTTAGATATTTCACAACTGGGTTTTGGGGTGTGGGGCAGGGTGCTGATTCGATGCACTATAGTGTGAATACTTCAACCTTGGCCAATTTCATGCTACCAACATGACACCTCTGAACTTGCAGTTGGACAGTGGCTTACTTTATATAACATTTCCTTCACACTAATACAATAGTCATGAACAACCTCAAGAGCATAGTTAAGAGTAAAATGTAGTCAAATAATTAGGAAGTGATGCATTTTACATATTTATTAACTTTCTTTTTGATATAATGTATTTAATGGTAACTTCATATAATTTATTTGTTAATAATGGCTTAGCAACCAGATTGCACACCACTGAACATCCTAGACTACATAGTACATTTCTCATGGTTATTCCTTTAAAGTTCCTCAACGTAGGCTTATGGTCCAACACCAAAGAGCAATTCAAAGGGAGTGATTTTATGAAGGGTCAAAACCATGCAGTCCTGCAAGATCAGCAACATCCAAGAATAAAATGGTAAAAGTTTAGATACAATCATTTTAATGATGGTGTTCTCAATACAATGGATGGCTGCAGGTGAGTGTCAGTGAAAGGGGTGGATTTCCAGCCAGCACTTCAAGATTGACACCTACTCGCTGTGCCACAGATTACACACAGCCAGCACCCTCAGCCATGCAAGTGTGTTGCACCATCCATGCTTTCCTCTGCTTCTCTGTGAGCAGAAAGCCTGGACGCTACTGATCTTGAAAAATGGATGGAACAGAGACCCTTTGGGCATTCATAAGTGTGAGTATAGTTAAGCCACTGAGCTTGGTAAGACCAGGGTAATGGGGAATTTGAGCGTATGTCCTCTTCCAGGAGCCTGGAAGATAAATCTTCTAGTCAACTGGATGCAGGCAGAGAGAGTTAGCATCCTCTTATGAAAGTCAAGGAATATCCCAAAACACCTGCCTGACCAGAAGACCGCCCTACCTGTGCACGGAGGGCAGCTGAACTAATATATGTGACCATAGCAGCGTCCTGTTGGGGACATTTGCTATAGGCTAAATGTCTCTCTTGAACAAGACATTCAAATGTTCAAATAAATCATATGTTTGGGGAAAACAGTCTCAGGAAAATTTAATTCTACTACCACAGTTTCATTGATTTTTTATGTTCCTTTACTTTTAAAAGACATTCAAAATAATTAACCCTGGTGGATTTTGACATTCGCTGTCCCTTAGAGTACTATCAACTTTAATTAGATTCTAGAAATGAAGTAACAATATCTTATCAACAGAAAGACATTTTGAGGATGGTAAAGTCAATATCAGATACGACTAACTTTAAGAAAACATTAAAAGCCGAATGTATAAAACAGATGAATTAGCAGGATATAACTTACGTTTCCAGAATTATTCCTGACTTTACAAAAGCATTCACTGCAGGGATCCTTTAAATAGCAGATTCGTTTTGTGCATTTGAAATATTAACTAATTTATACAAACTCCATTTTGAGGATGTACATATGATGTTAATCTAGGCACACTGCAATCAGCAAAGCTTATCTGTTCTACATGTTAGCTGTGTAATTGGAGGCAAGTGTGAATTTCTCTGATACGTGGTTTTCACATCTCTACCTGCACAGAATACCACTCAGAGTTGCTGTGTTAAATATATCTTATTTTTGCAAGTGTTTTATATAAAGTTCTTTTGGAATGTTCCTTGTTCAGGAAGGATGAAAGGGTTCTAGTAGTTACTTAGTGCCTCACATATACCAAGTGTGCTCACATACATTGTTTTATTTTCTCTTCACTGCATTGTTACTGAAGTCTCATCATTACTAAATTAAGACACTATGGGCCGGGCGCGGTGGCTCACGCCTGTAATCCCAGCACTTTGGGAGGCCGAGGCGGGCGGATCACGAGGTCAGGAGATCGAGACCATCCTGGCTAACACGGTGAAACCCCGTCTCTACTAAAAATACAAAAAAAAATTAGCCGGGCGTGGTAGCGGGCGCCTGTAGTCCCAGCTACTCGGGAGGCTGAGGCAGGAGAATGGCGTGAACCCGGGAGGCGGAGCTTGCAGTGAGCCGAGATCACGCCACTGCACTCCAGCCTGGGCGACAGAGCGAGACTCCGTCTCAAAAAAAAAAAAAAAAAAAAAAAAAAAAAAAAAGACACTATGACTCAGAGAGGACCTTGCTCCAAGTCACACAGCTAATCAGCGACAATGCCAGAATATTAGGCTTGGTCTGTCTGACTCCAAATATCACTCTTCATTCTGCTGCATCACACAGGTTCAAGTGCTTGTTCTGTCACTACTAATAGTGTGACTTGGGCAAATTAATGAACCTCTCTGAAACACAGCTTCCTTGTCTCAAAATTAAGATGATAAAATATCTAACCTGAGAGCGTCGCCGTGAGGACTGAATGAGTTGATGCACATAAAATCCATGGCACTATATCTGACCAACTAAGTACCCAATATGTGTGGATTACTTAAAATTTTTGAGCCCAAACAAAATCTAGCATGCTTGCCAGCATAAATAGAATTTAAATATTTATAGATGGAAAAGAATGCTTCTTCTAAGCAGAATCTGCAATATCAAAAGAATATGATTCCTGATAAGACTGAAGTATTTCTACTGTGTATATCAGATGAAAGCAATAGATTCTGTATCAGTAGTCCAAAAACTGGATTCTTAATTCAGCTGGGTCGTTAACTAGGAATTTAACCTGAAGCAAAATTTCTATTTCTGTTTTCTTTACCATCAAACAGAGATAAAAGTATGAGAAAATAACAGAAATGGGAACAACATAGAAATCTAAGCAGTGCTGACTTTTCCCTTCCCAAAAATGGCAGAGTAGCTTATTTGAAATGAAACTTACTGCTATTAACCATTAGTAAGGCTGAAGAAAATTAAAACAAGGAAGCAAACACCTGTCAAAGACATCAGAGAGCTGCTCAAATAGGATTTATAGGGCCAAGATCTTAGAGAGAGGAGAAACCCAGAATATTGAACTGGTATTTGACACCGCTTTTCCCTTTGAGGCATTTGCAAATTTTTAAGGAACAACTGAGATGAGAAAAACTGTGCAGAAAGTAGTGTCTGAAAGGCTGTAGAGCTGAGAGTATACTGAAATTTCACCAGGCTTGGGAGAGGGGGTGAAGAGGGGATTGAGTTCATACAGGAGAAGAGGCTCAAGTGAAAACCTGGGTTTTAAGTTGTTACCCTTGAAGTGCTGTAACTAGGGGTATGAACTCTAAACAGAGCAGCCCTCACAGAAACTGAACCCCAGTTTTGAATCTACTCAACTCATGAACGGATTAAATTAATATGTTCCTATGCTACCCACCTGCTAGAAACGAATAGAAATCCTCTCTAAAGTAAGATATGATCCAGATATAAATTGTCTCTATAATTTTCATACACAGCAACCAGCATTCAATTAAAAGTAACAAAGCATGCCAAAATATTAGCTAAAAATCAAAATAACAAAAGACAATAGAAATAGATCCATAAAAGATACAGATATTCTACGTATCATATTGGAATTCAAGATCAGCCTGGGCAACATGGCAAAACCCCATCTCTACAAAAAATACAAAAATTATCTGGGCATGTTAGTGCCCAGCTGCTCAGGAGGCTGAAGTGAGAGAATCACTTGAGCCTGTCTGGAGGTCAAGGCCGCAGTGAGCTGTAATCAGAGCACTGCTCTCCAGCCTGGGTGACAGAGTGAGATTCTGAGGAAGAAAAGAAGGAAAGAAGGAAGGCAGGAAGACAGGAAAGCAGGAAGGCAGGAAGGCAGGAAGGGAGGGAGGGAGGGAATTTCAGCAAAGACCTGAAAACCATAAAGAGAAAACCAAATGGAATTGTAGAACTAAAAAAAGAAATTCAACAAAATAAAGAACTCAATTAATAGGCTAAAAAGCAAAATAAACCCAGTCAAAAAAAAAAGAGAGAGAGAATCGATAAACTGGAAGATAAAGTAGAAGAAAAAATCCAACTGAAGAAGAGAAGGGGGAAATACTAAAGAGAATAAGAGCCATGTAGAACATGAGGAAAGGTCTAATATGTATAATTACAGTCCTAAAAGAAAGAAAGAGATAGAATGTGGCAAAAACAATATTTGGAGAGATAATATTTGAGATTAAAAAATATTGGATGCAGACATTAAGCCCATAGACTAAAAAAGTGTTACAAACCTGAAGCAGGATAAATACAAAGAAAATTACGCCTGCATATATCTTAGTGAAACTGCTAAAAACCAATGACAAAGAGAAAAGTTGAAAACTATCAGAGGAAAAAATTCACCTAACTTATGGGAGACCAACAGTAACACTAACAGCTTATTAACAATAAAAGCCAAAGACAGTGGTAACAGGTATTTGAAGTGCCATGGGGAAAATAAAAGCGCTTACCACATGTACAATTCTAATCCCAGCCAAAGTATTCTTCAAAAATGAAGTTGAAATAAAATATAAAAATTTGCAGACAAACAAAAACTAGAGAATTTGTCAGCAGCATCTTTGTACTAATGAGTACTGTGCAGTAGATTTGCACTAATAAGTATTCTTCAGTGAAGGAAAATGATCACATTTAGGAGCAAGAAGATAGAAGAAAGAACAGCAATGGAAAGAATTAGTTTTGGGGTAAATCTAAGTGAATAGCATCTCTATAAAACAATAATAAAAATATAGGGCTTAAAATATCTCCAACATTAAATATATTCACAACAGGTGGAGATAAATGGAGTTAGCAGGTTCTAAAGTTACTGCATTGTCCAGGAGATCGTAAATATATGAAATCATACTAAATGTAATAAATCAAGGATTTGTGTTGTGATTTATAGAGTAACTACTATAAGAATAGTAAAAGAGGCCGGGCACAGTGGCACATGCCTGTAATCCCAACGTTTTGGGAGGCCGAGGTGGGCAGATCACCTAAGGTCAGGAGTTCAAGAGCAGCCAACATGGTGAAACCCTGTCTCTACTAAAAATACAAAAATTAGCCAGGCATGGTGGTGGGCACCTGCAATCCCAGCTACTCAGGAGGCTGAGGCAGGAGAATCGCTTGAACCCAGGAAGCAGAGGTTGCAGTGAGATGAGATCACACCATTGCACTCCAGCCTGGGCAACAGAAGCAAAACTCTGTCTCAAAAAAAAAAAAAATATATATATATATATATAAGCAAAAAGAATAAACTGGAGGAATCACATTACCTGACTTCAAATTATGCTACAGAGCTATAGTAACCAAAACAGCATCATACTGGCATTAAAATAGATACATTGACCAATGGAACAAAATAGAGAGCCCAGAAATAAATTGATACATCTACAGCAAATGTATTTTTGACCAAGGTGCCAAGAACATACACTAGGGGAAGGGAAATCTTTTCTATAAATGGTACTGGAAAAAATGGATATCCATATGCAAAAGAATGAAATTAGACCCCTATCTCTCACCATATACAAAAAATCAACTCAAAATGGATCAAGGGCTTACATCTAAGACCTCAAACTATGGAGCTACTAAGAGAAAATATTGCGGGAGCCCCAGGACATTGGTCTGGGCAAAAATTTGTGATTATTACCTCACAAACACAAGCAACCAATGCAAAAATTGACAAATAGGATCACAACAAGTTAAAAAGCTTCTGCACAGCAAAGAAAACAATCAACAGAATGAAGAAACAGCCCACAGAATGGGAAAAAATACTTGCAAACTATCCATCTGATTAGGGGTTAATAACCAGAATACATAAGGAGCTCAAACAACTCTGTAGGAAATCATCTAATAATCTGATTTTTAAATGGGCAGAAGATTTGAATAGATGTTTCTCAAAAGAAGACCAACGTACAGCAAACAAACAGGTCTATGAAAAAGTGCTCACCATCGTTGACCGTCAGAGAAATGCAAATCAAAACTACAATGAGGTATTATTTTACCCCAGTTAAAATGGCTTTTATCCAAAGACAGGCAATAACAAATATGGGCGAGAGTGTGGAGAAAAGGAACACTTGTACACTCTTGGTGGGAATGTAGATTAGTACAATCTCTATGGTGCAGAGTTTGGAGATCCCTCAAAAAACTAAAAATAGAGCTACCATATAATCCAGCAATCTGACTGCTAGGTATATACCCAAAAGAAAGGAAACCAGTATATTGAAGAGATAACTACACTTCCATGTTTATTGCAGCATTTACAATAGCCAAGATTTGGAAATAACCTAAGTGTCCATTAACAGAGGAATGTGTAAGGAAAATGTGGCCCGTATACACAATGGAGTACTATTCAGTCTTAAAAACAAATAAGATCCTGTCATTTGCAACAACATGGATGCAGGTCATTACATGAAATAAGCCAGGCACAGAAAGACTAACTTTGCATGTTCTTACTTATTTGTGGAAGCTAAAATTTTAAACAATTAAACTCATGGAGATAGAGAGCAGGACAGTTACCAGAGGCTGGAAAGGATAGTAGCAGGGGAGGGAAATGTGGGGATGGTCAATGGGTACAAACATGTAGTTAGATAGAATGAACAATATCTAGTATTTGATAGCACAATAGGGTGATTACAGGCAACAATAATTTATTGTACATTTTAAGATAACTAAAGGGTATAATTGGATTGTTTGTAACACAAAGAAAGGATAAATGCTTGAGGTGATGAATACCTCATTTATCCTGATGTGAATATTGCATGCCTGTATCAAAGCATCTTATGTACTACATAAATATACACATCTACTATGTGCCCACAAAGATTAAAAATAAATTTAAATAAAATAAATAAAAATATAACTAATTTTTTAAATGAGAGAATAAGAGAAATAAGAGAAAAAAATGAGCCATGAAAAATTTTGCTGACACAAAATGTAACTGACTTTTTTGCATATAATCTTGAATCCTGACACCTTGGTAAATGTATTTGTAACTCTAAAGTAGTTTTAATGTAGATTCTACAGATTTTCTACATAGATAACCATATCGTCTGTGGATAAAAACAGTTTTACCTCTTCCTTTCCAATCTGGATAACTTGTATTTCTTTTTCTTACTTGATTGCACGGGGAAGAACCTCTAGTACAATGCTGAACAGGAGTGGTGAGAGTAGAAATCCTTGCTTTGTTTTTGATCTTAGAAGGCAGGCATTTATTCTTTTACCACTGAGTATGATATTAGCTGGAGGTTTTTCTTACAAGCCACTTACCCAGTTGAGAAAGCTCCCTTCTAGTCCTGGTTTGCTGAGAGTTTTTAATCACAAATAAATACTGGATTTCGTCAATTTTTTTTTCCTTGAATCTATTCAGTGGAAGTTTAAAAATATCTTAAAATTTATTGTACTTCAAATGTTGCATGTTAAAAAAAGATTATTATGCTGCTAAAGCCATACTTACAGGGAATTCTTTTGCCTTAAACTCACATATTTAAAAAAGAAGACTGAATATCATTCATCTATTTCAGAAAGCAGGGGAAACACCAGCTCCACCCACCCTGGATCCTCAGAGTCAGTGCACTTATATACCAGGAGAACTTTTGCTTTCCAGAGCAGCTCATCATACCTTTCAAGGGTGTCCTGGCTCACCTACTTGGAAATACACATTTCCAGCCTATCAGCCATGCACACAGGTCCCCAAATCATCCCCGGGAACTACCAGCCTGAACTCACAATGCCTGGAATTCCACCAAAGATTGGATAACTCAAAATTGAGATTTTTGAAAATAAAAAATATCTGTGAATTTCTCAGGAGTAATAGCCTCATCTCAAAACACAACAATATAAAAAAGTCTATGTATATTGTAAATTTTATCTTTTCTTCATTTTTTTACAAATGAAATTTTTTTATCCTAAAAGACACAATATAGTGTTTAATATGCTAAGGAGAAGGCAGATACTCACAGAAATATTAAGATGTAATTATGGTTAGACTTGTATTTATTAAGAAACCATCAGATCTTATATTTAATACTAAGTTCTTAAACAGTTTGGAAGGTATTTTGTATAGTCTTGAGAATCATGAAAGATATAGTATTTGTAATGTCCTTCGAATTAAAATATCTGTTTTTTTATCCCTCAGAATAAGTTCTGATTATAATGTTGAATGGGAATTTATAAATTGAATATAATAAAGGTGACATCAACAATGAATGTTTATAGTGTGACATTAATATTTCTTAAATAATAGAAAGTCTTATGTGTTTTAAACTATATTAAGCTATATAACTTAAATTTTTTAATTTATTTGCAAATGTGCATATATTTGAAGAGCCAGAAGATTTATACCTTCAAATTTAACAAAAATCTTCATATTTAATATTTTCTATCAAATTGAGTTATCATTGAAAAAATTTTTCAAAAAAAGAAGTTTTTAAAATAGCAAATTAGAGTGAAAGGAAGTAGAAATAAAGAAATAGTAAAGATAGAAGCATAAATCAACAAAATACAAAGCAATTTTAAGATAGAGAAGATCAACAAATTCAAAAGTTGTTCTTATCTAAAGAGACTAGAATTGGCAGTATCCCAGAAAGACTAATCATGTAAAAAGAGATAAAAGGATAAATCAGCACTATCAAGAATGAAAATGGAGAAATGACTAAAGATCCTAAGACATTAAAGTGATGATAAAGAAGTTATGATGCACAAGTTTATGCCAATAAATTTGAAAATGTATATAAAATGGGCACATTTCTCAAAGGATAGTTATAAAACTGACATAAGGCTGGACACGGTGGCTCATGCCTGTAATCCCAGCACTTTGGGAGGCCAAGGGGGGGCAGATCACAAGGTCAGTTCGAGACCAGCCTGGCCAACATGGTGAAACTCCATCTCTACTAAAAATACAAAAATTAGCCGCGCACGGTGGTGCACACCTGTAGTCCCAGCTACTCAGGAGGCTGAGGCAGAAGAATTGCTTGAACCCGGGAGGGTGAGGTTGCAGTGAGCCAAGATCACGCCACTGCACCCCAGCCTGGGCAACAGAGCGAGACTCTGCCTCAAAAAAAAAATTAAAAAAACCTGACATAAAAATAAAATATCTCAATAACCCTGTATATTAAAGAAATTGAGCCATAGAACACAAATCTTTACAGTGAACACAGAGAATACTTCCCAATTTGATGACAAAATCCAATTTTAAAAATATTACAAGAAATGAAATTAAAGACCAATATCATCCACAGGCACAGACACACAAAAATCTTAGCAAAAGATTAGCAAACCAGTGATATGTGAAATAAAAATATACTGTGATTAAATTGACTTTATTCCAATAATTTGAGGTTGACTTAACATTTGCAGACCAATCAATAAAATTATGACATTAACAGAGGAAAGGAAAGAAATCATATATCTCAGTAGATACATGACCAAGTATAGAGCTAATGCAATTAAGATAGGGTGATATTAGTGCAAGAATAAATAGACCAATATAACAAAATAGAGAGCCTGGAATCTAAACCATGGCATATACCTCTTTTATAACAAAGGTCAGGAGTGAAGTGTTGTGGGTAAAAGCAGTTCTTCCAATACATGATGCTGTGTCAAAAGGCTATCCTCACAGAAAAAAAAAAAAAAAAAAGAATTTCAGCATCTCCCCACTCATCATATTCACATGATACACAAAATTTAATTATAAATACCTCATGGATCTACAGGCAAAAGGCAAAAACATAAAAGTACTAGAAGATAACACAGGCAAATATCTTCAGGACTTTGGGATAAGCCAACAGTTCCTAAACCGAACATAAAAGCACTAGCCATAGAGAAAAGGAATGATGAATTACACTACATTAAAATTAGATTTTCGTTTATCAAGAGGCACCATTAAGACAGTAAGAAAAACAAGGCCACTGAATGGGAATATTTTTTGGAATCCCTGTATTCCACAAAGGCTCCAGGATAAAGAACCCCTATAAATCAACAAGAAAAATAAAAAGACAATCCAATAGAAAAATGAATAAAAGGTACTTCACACAAAACAGGATATCCAAATGGCCAATGCACTTACTGAAAGAAGTTAAACATCATTAATCATTAGGAAAATATAAATTAAATTAAAACTGCAATGAGATATCACCATGAGCCGACTGCAATAGCTAAACAAACAAAAGAATCCTCGAGAAGTGATAAGGACATGAAACAACTGGAGCTCTCACACACTGTGGTAGGCCTACCAATGATCAGCAATTCTTCTCTTAGAGATACACACATATCCACTAGAAATATGTTCCTGTGTCACCAACACCAAAAGACACATACAAAAATATTCACAGCAAGGCCAGGCACGGTGGCTCATGCCTGTAATCCCAGCACTTTGGGAGGCTGAGGCAAATGGATCGCTCGAGGTCAAGAGTCCAAGACCATCCTGGCCAACATGGTGAAACCCTGTCTCTACTAAAAATACAAAAATTAGCCAGGCATGGTGGCGGGTGCCTGTAATCCCAGCTCAGGAGGCTGAGGCAGGAGAATCGCTTGAACTGGGGAGGTGGAGGTGGCAGTGAGCCAAGATTGCGCCATTGCACTCCAGCCTGGGCGACAGAGTGAGACTCTGTCTCAAAAATAAATAAATAAATTATATATATATATATATATATATATATATATATATATATATATATATATATATATTCATAGCAGCCTTGTCGAAAAAAGCAAAGTAAGCAAACAAAGAATAAATGAATGGAATCAATGTCCATCAACAGGAAAATATAGTTTATCCATATTAACCAATACGTTAAAGCTATGAAAATAAACAGATTACAACAATCACATGCACCAACATGATAAATTTTACAAAGAATAATGGTGAGGCAAAGAAGCCAGAGACAAAAGAAGATATACTGTATAATTCAATTTGCATAAAGTACAGAACAAATAAAGAATTTAAAAGTTAGGAAAATCACCACCTTTTTCTAGTAAAATATACATAACATAAAATTTATTATTTTAACCATTTTTACTGTACAGTTTAGTAGCATTAAGTACATTCACATTGTTGTACAAGCATTATTACCCTTTATCTCAGAACTTTTTCATCCATCCCAAACTGAAACTCTGTGCCCATTGAAGAGCAATACTTGATTTTTGTTCTCTACCTCCCAGCCTCTGGTAACTGCTAGTCTACTTTCTATGTCTATGTATTTGATTATTCTAGATACCTCACATAAATGGAATCATACAGTATTTATCCTTTTTGTTTCCAGCTTCTTTCACTTAGCATAGTGTCTTTAAGGTGCATCCATGTTGTAGCATGTTTCAGAATTTCATTCCTTTATAGGGCTGAATAATATTCTATTGTACCTGTTGTAGGGGAGACAAAAACTTTATCTCTCCCCCTTCCCCCCCCCCTTTTTTTTTTTTTTTTGGAAAGAGTCTCACTCTGTCACCCAGGCTGGAGTGCAGAGGCACAATATTGACTTACTGCAACCTCCACCTGCCAGGTTCAAGCAATTCTCCCACCTGGGATTACAGGAATGTGCCACCACGCATGGCTAGTTTTTGTATTTTTTAGTAGAGACAGGGTTTCGCCATGTTGGCCAGGCTGGTCTCAAACCCCTCACCTCGGGTGATCCGCCGGCCTCGGACTCCCAAGTGCTAGGATTACTGACGTGAACCACCACGCCCGGCCATCTTTCCCCTCTTAGAGTCCTGGGCTGAGTCTGAGAATTAAGGTGACACAAGTAAGATTAACAGGAGAAACGCATACACATTTATTTAATAAGTCTTATGTGACACTAGCGAGTCATGATGATCTTTGATAAGTGAGGAGATAGCAACTGAACAAAGGCCTGAGAGGGGCTTCTGAGGTGCTGCTTGTCTTCCATACATTGATAATTTGTGCATTTTTCTAGTTACACATTTTGTGTTTATGACTGGCAAACAAGATAAAAGAATAGTCAAGTTCATGGGTTTGGCCTGGTTTAATGATCAATACAGATACTGCTGTACTAAGTCCATTTACTTTGCAGAAATGTGTCACTAAGTAGGACCAAAAATCAGACTTACTTAAAGAGAACTATTTTTAAATGCTTATTTTTAAAATATTTTAAAATAAATACATTTTAAATGTGCTTTTTACAAATGCATTGCTTAGGTAAAGTTATTTTGCTGCTAAATTGTAACAATTCGCTCTTCAAAAGGTTTTTATAGCTAAACATTGTCCTCTTAGCTTGTCAGTTTCCTAGCATCAGGAATTTATATGCCTCCTTCACTCTTATAGTGCATACTGAATACTCAATGAATTGTGTACTGACAGGCACACCATTTCTGAAAGGCAATTTGGCAAAATGTATCAAAAAAATTTTAGTGTACTTTCTCCTTGACTCATCTATTCTAGTTTTAGAAATCTATCTAGAGGAATAACTGAGCAAGTCAACAAACACATGTTCAAGGATATTCCCTGAATCATTGCCTATAAGAGCAAACATTTGGGAACAATCACAGAACAACAGGGAATTGGTTAAATAAAACTGGTCTATACATGGTATAGAAAAGTATACATCCATCAATTTTATTACATATATTAAAAAGAAAAGATAAAAGAAATAATTATATTATAAACACAGTTTAGAAAATCAGGCCGGGCACGGTGGCTCACGCCTGTAATCCCAGCACTTTGGGAGGCTGAGGCAGGAGGGTCACGGAGGTCAGGAGATCGAGACCATCCTGGCTAACACTGTGAAACCCCTTCTCTACTAAAAATACAAAAAAATTAGCCGGGAGTGGTGGCGGGCGCCTGTAGTCCCAGCTACTCAGGAGGCTGAGGCAGGAGAATGGTATGAACCCAGGAGGCGGAGCTTGCAGTGAGCCAAGATTGGGCCACTGCACTCCAGCCTGGGCCACAGAGCGAGACTCCATCTCAAAAAAAAAAAAGAAAAAAGGAAAACCAGTCTTTATGGTATAATCTCATATTCTAATGTAAGGGAAACATCTGGAAAGATATACGTTACCATTGTAGTGGGGTTCTATCTGGGTGGTGAAATTACAGTTAATTATTCCCTTAATTTGCCTATTTACAATTCTAAAGTTTCTACAGTGAGACATATCATTTGGTATTAAAAACACTCAAAAATGTCTTTCCCAGTGTCATCTTAGATCAAGCTTATCATAATGGAGTTAGATTATAAGCTGGCATTTTGTAATTTTCATCCAGTGGATCTGTATACACACTTACATGTGTACAGAAGCACACATATAAGTATGAGGAAAGGACAGGCTTCACGCCAAGCCAATTTTTTTTTTTTTTTTTTTAGAAAGAGTCTCACTCTTTTGCCCAGGCTGGAGTGCAGTGGCACGATCACAGCTCACTGCAACCTCAGCCTCCCGGGTTCAAGCGATTCTCCTGCCTCAGCCTCTTGAGTAGCTGGGATTACAGGTGCGAGCCACCACACCTGGCTAATTTTTGTATTTTTAGTAGAGATGGAGTTTCACCATGTTGGTCAGGCTGGTCTCAAACTCCTGACCTCATCATCTGCCCGCCTCGGCCTCCCAAAGTGCTGGGATTACAGGCATGAGCCACCACGCCTGGCCAAGCCAATACTTTTTTAGAATAAAATTTCAGTGCAACCTTGCAAATAAGTTCTCAGTATCTACAAGTCCATACCAGGGCATCACTAGTACATTAACAAAATCAAAAGAGAAAACAAAAGTTATTTTGATTTATTGCATGAACACCTAATGGGAAATGAGTATTTCAATTATAGGTATTCATTTTATACTCTGTTCTGATTTTTGTTTGTCAGTTGGATGGTTGTTTATCTGATTTATGACTATGTTGTTATGACTGGAAAACAGAGGACCAAAGGATAGCTAATTTACTGGGTTTGATCTGGTTTAAGGTCAATTCAGCTCATTGCTATGTTGAGTCAACTGACTTTGCAGAAACTTGCCATTAAGTAGACCCAACAATCAGATCAACTCTACCACATTTAATTTGGATGAATCACCCAGATACAACCTTTGGCAAGAAGATCTCACTTACTCAGCTTCTCCAGTCTTGCTTTCTTAGATTTTCCTTTCTTTATTCCTAGTTGGTAAGCTTGCTGCCACAAAGGACAAAAAAATAAAATTGGAAGGAAGGAATTACATATTTTTTCATTTCCATTACAAAATCTTGACAACACAAGGAGAGATCAAACAGGGGCCTTTAACATAGCAATTGTCTTTTCTCTCTCTATGGGGAATGGCTATCTTTGGTGAATTATTAGAATGGACAGATTCTACTCTATTTAGTTTCTGTCAGAAGTCATGTTAACAGAAAGACCATGTAGTTTTTACCAAAATGTCAACAATGTGGCATTTCCCTGGGATGTATAACCAATGGATTTTGTGCTGGGGGAAATGTCTGGGTGAAGGCCTGAGAACCATTTTGAGTTACTCAAAGCACAGAGCTGCGATTCTGTTGTTCCAAGTGTGAGATTGATGTCTTCAGAGGAGAGACTCACACTCTGGAATAGGTGGACTAACAGAAAGCTCATTTGAGGCTTATGACACTGTGGCTTACACCTAGATATCTCCTGGATGCCTTTATAACAAGGACTTCTGAATATAATAAATGGTAGCATTTATCACTGGAGTAACTCCCAGCTCAATTGCTTTCTGGAATTTATCATTTCCCAGAGTGTAGGTCCTTTAAGTGGTATATTCTTCTGTCAAAATATGACTTATCAACTAGTAATTCTACGCCATTCATCACTGGATTTCTCTCTGTGTCACCACCCAAACGGACAAGCCCATTACAAGTACTTATTTTTTAAATGAATCATTTTGGTAAATCCAGTGGATCTCAATTTTTTTTTAATCAAACTTTTCAAGATTTGGTGAATTATATTTAAGCAATACAATTACATTTTAAAACCTATCAGTGTTGATTTTATTTAGAAAAACAAGGAAAAATCCAGAAAATGAATGGAAGCCTGGCCTTGTGAATTAAAACCTCTTCTGCCATCAGTGCCTTTGTGCCAAGTTCCTAGATGAGCAGCACAGTGCATCACTTTACTTGGATATTAGCAAAGGGTGTTCCAAGAGGGCTCCTAGTAAAAGTGATCTGGGAAACACTGTGAACAATTCCTATCTTCATGAAAATTCGCATTTCTAAGTAACATATTAAAGACTCTGTGAATACAACGATAAACTTTAAACCTTTACTTAAATCTGTCTTCCTGTCTACTAAAAACCATATTTGAGAAACACCAGCTAAGTATAAAGGAGGTATCTAGAAGAATACTGCCCAACAGAAATATAATGTAAGGTATATAGGGACCAAACTTTCTTATGATCCCATAAATACAAATAAAAGGAAAGAGCAGAAACTAATTTTATTAATGTTTCATTTAATTCAATATATTCAAAATATTATTGAACATAAAATCAATGTAAAATTAAGAGATATTTTATATTACTTTCTTAAAATAAATCTTTGAAATCTAGTATGTGTTTTACACTTAAGAAACATCTCATTTCAGACTACTCACATTCCAAGTGCTCAATAGCTACATGTGACCAGTGGCTACCTTACTGGACAGTGCACATATAGAAGATTAATGATTATATAAATTTAAATGCTTAAAATATCATCATATTTAACAAAAATGATTATAATGTGATTATAATGCCTGACTGCTAATCCACAAATTATTGCAGGATAATAACTTATTAACGATGGTTATTTAGACAACAATACTAGGTTGCACCTTAACTCTGGTTTCCAAAGGAAACCAGGATCGGTTAGAAATGTCCAGTGGCTTTTTTGAAGATAGGAATTTTTAAGTATTTTGTTAATTGCCATATTCACAGCACCTAAAACAATGCCAGGGTTATAGTAGATGCTCAATATGTTTTTGTAAAATGAATGCCATTTTCACTTAGGAGAAAATCATGTTTTATATCAAAAGGCTAAGAAATGCTTTAAGCTTGCAGCACTCAATTCAATGAACTGACTGTGTCCTATTCAGAGCACTAACTATGTGCCATTTGCTAAGAATTGTGGATAGGCAGCTCCGATGTGGATGGACAGAGCAGCGTGCGAAGGCTCACATTGTGAATTTTAGCTCCAGATCGACTGGAAGAACAAACCAGCAATCCCAAGTGGACCCACAGACCCTCTGAAGGAAGCAGACTGCTCCTGCAGGACCTGGGAGAAACCTCAAATACTGTGAGTGTCCCAACTGCAGAAGTGGGAAAGGGAGAGCCTCCTCTCCCGAACACACACCCCCACTGGAGAAACTGAAGGTCTGTTTGCGGGAGAAGTTTCTGACCTTACCTGGAACTGAGTCAATTTAAAGAGCCGAGCAAAGTACAGGGGTAGAGGAAGCAGCAGGAAGGCCCTGGGAGCTCACTGTGTCCCCAAGCAGGCCATTCCTTTCTGGCACCAGAAGGATCCACTGGGAGGGTGGCCAGAGGAGTGGGCAAGGAACACCAGGGAGAAGGAAATCTCCAGCTGAACTTTGTAACAATTTCAACGGGGTGAGAAGCCTCCTGGCCAGAACTCGAAGTAGGGTGAGAATCTGGTGTGCACACTCCACAGGCAGGGGAAGAACCAAGGCTTTTTCTTTTGCAGCTGGGAGGCAGGTAGCCTGGGGCAAGTTTTCAAGGCCAGCTGATCCACCTCCTGGAAACAGACTCAGGGCTATTGCGGCGGCACTATGGGAATGAGACTGGCCCTTCAGTCTATTTGGGAGCTGGGTGAAGCCTGTGACTGCCAGCTTTCCCTGGCTTCCCTGACAGCTTGCATGACTCAGCAGAGGCAGACATAATCCTCCTAGATACACAACTCCATTGACCTGGGAACTTCACCTCCATCCCCCACAGCCGCCACAGCAACACCCGCCCAAGGAGAGTCTGAGCTCAGACATGCCTAGCCCTGCCCCCACCTGATGGTCCTTCCCTACCCACCTGGGTAGCTGAGGACAAAGGTCATATAATCTTGGGAGTTCTAGGGCCCCACCCACCACTGGTTCCTCTCCATACTACCACCGCTGATGCTCTCTAGAAAGTGCCACCTTCCTGCAAGAGGCCAACCACCACAAAAATAGAGTATTAAACCACCAAAGCTAAGAACCCTCAGGGAGTCCATTGCACCCCCCGCTGCCTCCCCTGGAACAGGTATTGGTATCTATGGTTGAGAGACCTATAAATGGTTCACAACACAGGACTCCATGCAGACAATCCCCAGTACCAGCCTGGAGCCGGGTAAATTCACTGGGTGGCTAGACCCAGAAGAGAGACAACAATCACTGCAGTTTGGCTTACAGGAAGCCACATCCATAGGAAAAGGGGGAGAGTACTACATCAAGTAGTAGTTTGTACTCCGTGGGACAAAAGAATCTGAACAATAGCCTTCAGCCCTAGACTTTTCCCCGGACAGAGCCTACCCAAATGAGAAGGAACCAGAAAATCAAATCTGGTAATACGACAAAACAGAGCTCTTTAACACCCCCAAAAAAATCACACTAGTTCACCAGCAATGAATACAAACCAAGAAGAAATCCCTGATTTACCTGAAAAAGAATTCAGGAGGTTAGATATTAAGCTAATCAGAGAGGCACCAGAGAAAGGCGAAGCCCAATGCAAGGAAATCCAAAAAAATGATACAAGAAGTGAAGGGAGAAATCTTCAAGGAAATAGATAGCTTAAAGAAAAAACAATCAAACATTCAGGAAACACTAGACACACTTATGGAATGCAAAATGCTCTGGGAAGTCTCAGCGATAGAATTGAACAAGTAGAAGAAAGAAATGCAGAGCTCAAAGACAAGGTCTTTAAATTAACCCAGTTCAACAAAGACAAAGAAAAAAGAATAAGGAAATATGAACAGTCTCCAAGAAGTCTGAGATGATGTTGAACAACTAAACCTAAGAATAATTGGTGTTCCCAAGGAAGAAGATAAATCTAAAATTTTGGCAAACATATTTGAGGGAATAATTAAGGAAAACTTCCCCGCTCTTGCTAGAGATCTAGACATCCAAATAACAAAAAGCTCAAAGAAAATCCGGAAAATTCATTGCAAAAAGATCATTGCCTAGGCACACAGTCATTAGGTTATCTAAAGTCAAGATGACAGAAGGAATTTTAATATCTGTGAAGCAAAAGCAACAGTAAACCTATGAAAGAAAACCTATCCGATTAACAGCAGATTTCTCAGCAGAAACCCTACAAGCTAGAAGGGATTGGGGCCCTATTTTCAGCCCCCCTCAAACAAAACAATTATCAGTCAAGAATTTTGTATCCAGTGAAACTAAGCATATATATGAAGGAAAGATAGTCTTTTTCAGACAAACAAATGCTGAGAGAATTCGCCACTACCAAGCCAGCACTACAAGAGCTGCTAAAAGAAGCTCTAAATTTTGAAACAAATCCTGGAAACACATCAAAACAGAATCTCTTTAAAGCATAGATCACACAGGACCTATAAAACAAAAATACAAGTTAAAAAGCAAAAACAAAAAAACAAAAAAACCAACATACACAGGCAACAAATAGCACAATTAATGCAACAGGACCTCACATCTCAATACTAACATTGAATGTAAATGGCCTAAATGCTTCACTTAGATACAGAACCACAGAATGGATAAGAACTCATCAACCAACTAACCTGCTGCCTTCAGGAGACTCACCTAGCACATAAGGACTTCCATAAACATAAAGTAAAGGGGTGGAAAAAGGCATTTCATGCAAATGGACGCCAAAAGCAAGTAGGGATAGCTATTCTTATATCAGACAAAACAAACCTTAAAGCAACAGTAAAAGACACAGAAGAACATCATATAATGGTAAAAGGCCTTTTCTAACAGGAAAATATCACAATTCTAAACATATATGCACACAAACATATATAGTATGTTACCATTTGTGTAAAGAAGAGAAGATAGATACTAACATATGTAACATATATGTATATATTCTTGTATATGCTAAAATATTTCTGGAAGGATAAAAAATAACATTGGTTTTGTTTCTGTTTTTTTCTTTTCTTTCTTTCTTTTTTTTGGGGGGGGAGTTGTTGTTTTTGAGATAGGGTCTTGTTCTTTCACCCAGGCTGGAGGACAGTGGCACAATCACAGCTCACTGTAGCCTCAACGTCCCGGGCTCAAGTGATATTCCTGTCTGAGTAGGTGGGACTACAGGTGTGCACCACCAGGCTTAGCTAATTTTTGTATTTTTTGTAGAGACAGGATTTCAACATGTTGCCCAGGCTTGTCTCAAACATCTGGGCTCAAGCAATCCTCCCACCTCGGCCTTCCAAAATTCTGGGATTACAGGCATGATCCACCGCACCCAGCCAATAACACTGGATTCTTATGGACAGAGGAAGTGGGCAATTGGTGAACAATGGTAGTGGGAGGAAGGCTTTTCACTGTATACTTTACCTTTTGATTTTGAACCTATTCAAAAAATATGTTGAATTAACTAATAATGAAACAACGTGGCATGAAATGAATGCTAAACAAAAGTACAAGCAGCATAATATAAAAGTGTAAAGAAATGAAGGTTACTTTGATGAGATGAAGCATCCTTCTGAGATCAGCATATTCCCTTCACTTGTAATGTCAGCTGGAGATGTTTCATGTGGTCACAGACAGAACCACATGTGAAGATGTGAAGGGAATCAAAAGATAGCCTCTATCCCTATCTGCCTTGCAACTCACTCCTGACTGTCCTTACTTGGCCTGAAATGACTGTAATTGACAGCTATACCACAAATTGGCAGCTATAAAATCATATGATAAATTTTTCCATCTTATCATCAAGGAAATAATGGGAGACTTTGTCAAATGCCTTGCTGAAATAATCACCATTTCTCACATGAATATTTTAGAGAGTACTTGCACCAAAAAAATGTACTTAAGCAATATTCATTCATTGAATGGGCACTTACTGAGTGCTTGTTGTGTGGTAGTACACTGTTTAAGATGGTAGAAATATAAAGAAGGCCAAAACACTTGGGATTTCAATTCCATGGAGTTTGCATTCTAGTGGGAAAGAGGCCAGACTGTCAACAAAGTCATTGCAATATGATATTTAGATATTAACAAATGTTTTTAACAAAAACCATAAAGTAACTTTTTATGGCTACATCTGGGTAACTGCTTAAGACCAGGTGCTCATGAATTGCTCTTCTAAAGAGGTGACTGTCCACATGGAGCTCTGAATGATGAGATTCTACACTATCTATGACATTTCCTTACTCCACTGGTCTAACAAATAATCATCAAGAGATAAAAAACAATACTAATTTGGCATGACTTGAGAAACCTATGTTAAGAATGAATCATCACCACTTTTTTTCCAGTTACTCACAAATAGTCACTTTGAATTACTTCAGTTCAAGGTCAAGCTTATTAGCCAGCTGTTTCTTTTATCCTTTCTTTTTGAAAATTGGAATGCTCGCCCCTCTCCAGGGTTCTGAAAACTCTCACGCTCCATGATTTCTCAGATTACCAACTACAGTTCTTTGATCAGGGCTATGAAATAGGAGCTGTCTATGACTTTTGATCTGGGCTCTTGTAAAGGCCAAAATGCTCTTCTCCAAATGTCTCTTGGACTTTAATTCTTTTTCACTGATTCTTTAGTTTATCCTTCTTACTTGAAAATTGTTCTCATGCATGGGGAAAAAAAAAAAAATCAAAGCAAAATCCAAGTTGGGAGGCACTGCCTTTCCTCCCTTATTTGTTAAACATGACATTGTCTGCCCCAAGCAGGTCCAGCCCTTTGTGCTGCAAATGGAGCTGGGAAAGTCCTTTTGGCTGTTCTGAACAAACATATTATGCTGTAAGAGTTGATCTTCTAAGAAATAAGCTCTCATCAGTTCTTTTCTATGAGGTTTCTTTTTAACCTTTTGAGGCAAGTTTGATCATCTCACAACTCTGATAATCGCATTAATAGATCATTCATTGTCAGGTCATTGTTTAGTATGATCACATATACAACCCCCACCCCAAACTCATTTCAAAAAAATAAAATTCATCAAAAAGGGAAGCCAATCTACCTGTCATTTTATTCACTCCCGTGGCCTTGTGTGACTTTTTCCTAATTACAACAAAATGCCTGGTGGGCACAATACGCCTCTAGAAATTTTTTTTTGTCTTTTTTAGAGCATGGGTATTGTTGGTTGAAACAAAGCACTGTGATCTTTCTGTTTCTCTCTGGAGCTTGCTTTCCTTCTGATTTGATACTTTATTAAGACAAAAGGCGAACAGATTTTCCTTCATTTTTTCTTCTTACACAGAAGTTCAAACACAGAAGTTCACAAGTCGTACCCAAAAGGATAATATATTTGACCTTAGGGAAGTGATCAGGCCTGAAGCATGTGTACCCTCTTTTGCCAGCTCTCTCTGGGTCTTTGCAGATGACCGTCTGAGTACAGGAAAGGGATAAAAAAACTCACATGAAAATAGGTTTTTTAAAATAGAGCTAAAATTAACTGAAGGGACCATCTGAACAGTCAGAAAAAATAAAGCTGCCTTTCATTGTGATCTCTCAGCTGAAAGAAAGAACTTTAGCAAAAAGAACAATAGGGCCACCCATTCCACCTCTGAGGAAGTATCCCCCAAGCCCACTGCAAATGCATAGACCAAAGCCATCTCCCATTCTGTTTGTCGGCCAATCACCCCGGCTCAAGCTCTCTATTCTCTCTCTCTTCTAATACAAATAATTTTCAAGACTCTAAAATTTTCAGAGAAAGAAGTTCATCTCTGAGTACTTTATTTCACCATACCAGAGTCACAGAGATGAAGCTGCACAAAATTTACTCATACATGAACAAAAATTTAATGTAAACCTCAAAGCTAACACTATTTATTGACATTCTTTCTCTGGAAATTTCTTACCAAAGAGAGATGCTATCTAGTAAAATAAATTGGCCTTTTAGCTTGATTTTGTTGAGAGATGGATTTATCTTTTTAAGTTTTTCTATCATCACCATGGATTCTTCTTTTCTGCATGCCTCCTTGCTTGCTTCCTTCTTCCTTCCTTTTTTTCACTTTGGGTGTCTTTGTTGAGGACAGTCTAAGTACTACTAGTCAGGCACCACACGAAAGCAAAGGGTGAATCCGTTAATCCAACTTGAAAGCCCTGACTCCTTTCGTTTCCTAATAAATCACATTTATTTGTTCTTAATCCAGATTTTGATTCCACTAAAACATCTCTGTGTATTTTGAGGAAGAAAATACAAATGTCAAAATTAAGGTCTTCGAAGAAAAATAAAAAGAAACATCTCCAAATGAAAAAGTCAAAAGTGGCTGGGCACGATGGCTCATGACTGTAATCCCAGCACTTTGGGAGGCCGAGGTGGGTAGATCACTTGAGGTCAGGAGTTGGAGACCAGCCTGGCCAACATAGCAAAACCCTGTCTCTACTAAAAATACAAAACATTTAGCTGGGCGTGGTGGCCTGGCCTGTAATCCCAGCTACTGGGGAGGCTGAGGCAGGAGAATCGCTGGAACCCAGGAGGCAGAGGTTGCAGTGAGCTGAGATCATGCCACTGCACTCCAGCCTGGGTGACAGAACGAGACTCCGTCTCAAAAAAAAAAAAAAGTCAAACGTTTGGAAGACAAATAAATGACTAGGATGAGAACAGATACTGCAATCCATCTTAATTCAAAGAATACTCACAAGAATCAAATCTACTCAAGCATCTCATTGTGAAATGAAGCCATACACTTAGTGAAGAGTTGCAGAATTAGCTTTTAAGTTATATTACAATGCATTTAAGTAGTCTTAAAAGAACACAAATAGAGGTTTGTATTTTCAGTTTAGCTAAGAAAAAAAGTCATTAAAATTACACTTTAGGGACCATGTTGTTTTTCAGTTGGTATATCTTTATCATAGGATATAATATCTCTGTGGGTCAGGTCATTTTTATTCCTCCTCTTAACCCCAGTACCTGGCAAATATCTGATAATACAGTAGAAAAATAGCAAACATGTAATTGTATTGAAACTGTGCCACCTCTGGCTCGAGGCGTGGTAGCTCACGCCTGTAATCCCAGAACTTTGGGAGGCCAAGGCGGGCAGATCACTTGAGGTCAGGAGTTCGAGACCAGCCTGGCCAATGTGGAGAAAGCCCATCTCTACAAAAAAAAAATACAAAAATTAGCCAGGCGTGGTTGTGTGTGCCTGTAATCCCAGCTACTCGGGAGGCTGAGGTGGAGAATCACTTGAACCCAGAAACAGTGAGCTGATATCATGCCACTGCATTCTAGCCTGGGTGACAGAGGGAAATCCTGTCTCCAAAAAAACAAACAAAAATAAAACTATGCTACTTCTTCTACTTACTGTAAGGGTCCCCTCTCTAAATGTAATCTGATTGCTGGATGTTCCCAAATCTTTTAGCCTTGAGGATAGAAATGGAGGGGAGGGGCTGTTCTTTGAACTTAAACTTAAGTGGTTCAAGCCCCCATCACAGGTATTACCAGCCCAATGGCCCATCTCACCCTGGTTTTTAGAACCCTGGTCCTTTTGGAATGAGTTGCACTTCCCATCTTAGGGCTGCTTTCTTCACTCCATATTATGGCAAAAGATGAAACATAGCCAGTTTTATTGGATTTCCCCCAAAGACAACTTTCAGTGGGTATGTATAAATAGCACTTTTACTATTGTTCAAAAGTAGCAATGGAGGAGAGCTTTAGACAGGGATATATTGCAGTGCACCACTGCCAACAAATTAAAACACAAGCTTAAACACACTGCAAGCCTTTCCCACTTCTGCACTATTTCACTGGCCATCTCCTGTCTTCACATTGGTTCCTCTCCGTCCACACCCTTAACTCTACTTCTTTCTAGACCCCTCAGCTGTTCTCTCTGGCTGTGCCCACCACCACTACCACTGCCTTCCAGGAAACTCAGAGTTCCTATATATCTTCTTTTTCTATTATTCATTTATTTTTATATTTTAAGAGATAGGATCTTGCTCTGTCACTCAGGCTGGAGTACAGTCACACAGTCATGGCTCACTGCAGCCTCCATTCCTGGGCTCAAGTGATCCTTTCACCTCTGCCTCCCAAGTAGCTGGTAGAATACAGGCACCAAGTAGCTGGTAGATACAGGCACACACCATCACACCTGCTAATTTATTTTTATTTTTATTTCTTGTAGACAAAGGGGTCTCACTATGTTTTTCAAGGTGGTCTCAAACTCCTGGTGTCAAGCAATCCCCTTACCTCTGCCTCCCAAAGTGCTAGGATTACAGGTGTGAGCCATCACAACCAGCCTCTTACACACTTTTGAATGCAGAACAATTCCCCTCTTTCTTTTTCTGACCTCTTCTTATTCTAGGCCTGCAATATCCAGTACATTAACCATTTGCCACATATGACTACTGAACACTGCTAGAAAGGTGGCTAATCCAAATTGAGAGGTGTGGAAGAGTAAAACACACACCATATTTTGAATAGTCTTCAAATAGGTAATAAAATATCTCATTAATAATGTTAATATTGATTATATCCTAAATGATAATATATTTTATTAAATAAGTATATTGAATAATAGGTTAAATAAGATGATAATATATTGCATTAAATTAAAAGTATTATTAAAACTGACCTCACCTGCTTTTGACTTTCTAAATGTAACTGTTAGCAAATTTAAAGTTACATGTGTGGCTTGCATCCTGTGTCTTTGAGACAGTGCTGGTCTAGACCCTAGGGTCTCAGCCTTCCACAGCAAGACAGACCCATTAAGGTGGTTTGTTAAACAAATTGCCATTTGTAACCCTAGAGATGAGCTATGCAACTCCAAGAAGAGGAAGGTTACAGCTAGTGTTTCCTTTGAATATCAACTATTTATTTTCTTCTATAGAACATTTCAACTATTGTTCATGAAAATGTATACATGTGAATGTTGAACTGAGCTGGCCAAGGCCACATTCTGTCTTCTCATTAGCAAGGACTTAAGGATGTGTCATGGATGAAATAGTCCTCTTCTGGAAAGAGAACTACACGTGGTTTACTCTTAAACATAATTCAGCATAATCTCACCTTTCCACCCCGCTCCCAAATACCCTATAATTTTCAAACAGTGGTAAAGTGGATTCTCATATTAATATCTATTCTCATTTTGAGAAAATGTTGAAAATACTCAACCAGCTGTGATTAAAAGAACTGCATTTTGATTCAGTGTGGTTCTTTGGTTTGGATAGGTATTTTAGTGCTGTGGTGAAAAGCATGGGTTTAGGAACCAGACTTTATTCTAATCCCAACTATTTGAATGGAGCTGACTTCTCCTCTAGGCACAATAGGCCTACTGCCCACAACAATGTTTTCATTTTATTTTTTTAATCAGAAGAAAAATGAATATAATAAAAATGAATCTAGCCTGGATTATTTTCATCTTTATACGAATGCATTCATAATATATATATTATATGTATATATAAATACATATATATTTGCCCATTTTTAAATCTGATTATTAGTTTTTTTTGCTATTGAGTTGTTTGAGTTCCTTATATATTCTGGTTATTAATCCCTTATTGAAGGATAGTTTGAAAATATTTTCTCCCATTCTCTAGGTTGTCTCTTCAACATAATTCAGCATAATCTAACTACATAAATATATATGTGTATACATATATATATATATATATATATATATATATATATATATATATATATTTAGAGAGAGAGAGAGAGAGTCTCACTCTGCCATCAGGCTGGAGTGCAGTGGCACAATCATGGCTCACTGCACCCTGAACCTCCCTGGGCTCAGGTGATCCTCCCATCTCAGCTTCCTGAGTAGCTGGGACTACAAGTGCGCCACCACCATGCCATGCTAATGCTAATTTTTGCTTGTTTTTTTTTTTGTTGTTGTTGTTGTTGTTTTGTAGAGATAGGGTTTTGCCATGTTGCCTAGGCTGGTCTCAAACTCCTGGGGCTCAAGTGATCTGCCCACCTCAGCCTCCCAAAGTGTTGGGATTACAGGAATGAGCCACCTTAATATTTAAGGCAGGAATGCCCAGCCTTGAATATTTTTTTTTAATGGAGGAAGAGGGCAACTGAAGGCAAAGTGCCTGGAACCCAAAAGTCATGATGCATCCCTGTAGCAGAGTGGCCTTGAATGTGTGTTTTTAATCTGAGTGTTGGCTTAACCATCTGTAAGGGAACATAATTATGGTACTTACATCACTGACAGACATAAAGATATTCTCCAAGATCTGGTTCCCTTTCCTTCTGGGCACTTCAGAGAACTGCACTTCCCTACTTTCCTGTTGTTAGTCATGGCCATGTGACTTGTTCTAGCTAATGAGATGTGAGCAGCTTTGATGTATGTCACTTCCAGGTGGGAGCATTTAAGCACAGACGTTTGATACTCCACCGCTCTCTTCCCCAGCCTTGGTGATCATGGCAGGTTGCATTGATATGGAAATGTGATATGACTGAAGCAGGCTGGAATTCCAAGCTGAAACAGAACACCACTTCCCTACAGAGTTATCTGGGACCTCCAACAAATTTTATGTAAGCAAGAAATGGGCATTTCGTGTGCTAAACCACCAGAATTTGAGGGTTATTTATTATTGCAGCATAACTTAGGTGAACCTAGTTGACACAATAGGGCTGTAGTCATGTTTAAATAAGATGATTATATTAAAAGCTCTTACATTATCAACATCATTAGATGGTGTCTAATAATACAGTACAAAATAATAACAGTTATTAAGCTCTTTGCACATAATTCGAGCTTAATAAATGGTTGTGTTTATTATTGTTGTTACTATTTCGCTCCTCCATGTCACAGGCTGCTCTTGACCGACTCTTATTTCCATTGTTAGGGAGTTTATTACAATGGTAGAAATATCTTGATCTCTTAGTACAGAATATGTGTCAATAGGTGTATTTAAGTAAGTCTGGCTTTGTTCCAGTGTAGCCTGCCAAATGCTAGTTGGAATTATCATCCCCTATTTATGAACCACAGCAATCTTCTCTCTCTCTCGCTCTCTCTCTCTGTCCTAGCTATATGTCCCAGTCCAGTCTGTCTTTCGGATTTTGCACCTTCGTTTTATGCCTTGTGATGATGGGATGTTTCCTTCCTTATTTCTTGACAAAAAGAGTCACTGTTAAGTAGAATCTAAATTAGAAAGCATCCCTCATTAAGCATAAAACAAGAATTCCATGCCATTGCTCTCAGGGTCCCAGAGGTTTCAATTTAGCTATTTTATACTCACCATCATATGGTGTATAAATGCTCAATCTAAGCAAAAGAGATGGTAGTAATGTCAAAAAAAATTGAGAGAGAAGGAAGAAGGAAGAAATTTAAAGTGGGGGGAATTGCATTTTTGAATATTTATGGATCAGTTATTGAATGTGTATTATACATACATTATCTTTTCTTTCTTTTTTGTATTTTTTTTTTTTTTTTTTTTTTTTGTAGAGACAAGGTTTCACTATGTTACCCAGGCTGGTCTTGAACTCCTAGCCTCAAGCAATCCTCTTACCTCAGCCTCCCAAAGTGCTAGGATTATAGGCATGAGCCACCACACCTGGCCTTCATTATCTATTTCTGAATAGAGGACTTTGATGGGCAACTCTAAACAATTCCTAGAACTGTTGGATAGACCTCTAAGTATCATAAATTAAAGCAAACACATGGGAAAGAGCCATTTGTCAGTGGTTGTCAAAAGTGACATGTGCCACCAGAGGATATGGAGAAACTTAAACTCTTAAGCATTGCTGGGGGGAATACAAAATGGTATAGCCACTATGGAAAACAGTATGACAGTTCCTCAAAAAAGTAAGCATTGCATTACTATAGGAATTCAGGAATTCTACCTCTGAATATACCCAAAATAACTGAAAGTAGGAACTCAAACAGACACTTGTACAGCAGTGTTCATAGCAGCATTATCGCAATAACCAAAAGACAGAAACAACTCAAATGCCTGTTCACAAATAAAAGAACAAACAAATTCTGGCATATACGTACAATAGAATATTATTCATCCTTAAAAAGGAAGAAAATTTTAGTACATGCTACAATGTGAATGAAACCCTGAAAACGTTAAGTGAAATAAGGGCATCACAAAAGACAAATATATGATTAGTAGTCAAATTCATAGAGACAGAAAATACACTGGTGGTTGCCAGGAGCTGAAGAGAGATGGGAATGCAGGATTTTTAATGGAACAGTCCCAGTTTTGTAAGATAAACAAAGTTCTGGAGATGAATGGTGGTGAGATTTGTATAATGATGTGAATGTAGTTAAAATCACTGAACTGTACACTTGAAATGGTTCTGCACAGCAAACCAAACAGTCAACAGAGTGAAGAGACAACCTAGAGAATGGGAGAAAATATTTGCAAACTATCCTTCAATAAGAAATTAATAACCAGGGCCAGGCGTGATGGCTTACACCTGTAATCCCAGCACTTTGGGAGGCCGAGGCAGGTGGATCACTAAGTCAGGAGTTCAAGACCAGCCTGGTCAACATGGTGAAAACCCATCTCTACTAAAAATACAAAAAATTAGCTGGGCATAGTGGCGTGTACCTGTAATCCCAGCTACTCAGGAGGCTGAGGCAGAAGAATGGCTTAAACCCAGGAGGCAGAAGCTGCAGTGAGCCGAGATAGTGCTACTGCACTCCAGCCCGGATGACAGAGCGAGACTCAGTCTCAAAAAAAAAAAAAAAAAAAAAAAAAGAAGGAAAAAGAAATTAATAACCAGAATATATAAGAAACTCAAACAACTCAATAGCAAATAAAAACTAATAATCAAATTTAAAAATGGGCAAAGGATCTGAATAGACATTTCTCAAAAGAAGACATACAAATAGACAAGAGGCATATAAAAAATGCTCAACATTACTAATCATCATGGAAATGCAAATCAAAACCGCAATGAGATATTATCTTACCCCAATTAAAATGGCTATTTTCTACACACGTATCTCCTCAGCACATGGATCATTCTCAATGATAGACCATATATTAAGCCACAAAACAAGTTCTTTAAACATTTTTTAAAACTGAAATAATATCAAGTATCCTCTCTGATCACGATGGAATAAGACTAGAAATCAATAATAGGAGGAGTTTTGGAAACTATACAAACTCAGGGGAATTAAACAACGTGCTCCAGAGTGACCAGTAGGTCAATGTAGAAATTAAGAAAAATTTAAAATTTCTTGAAACAAATGAAATTGGAAATACAACATATTAAAACCTGTGGGATACAGTCACAAATCAGTACTAAGAGGAAAGTTCATAGTAATAAGCACCTACATCAAAAAAGCAGAAAAACTTCAAATAAACAACCTAATGATGCATCTTAAAGAACTAGAAAAGCAAGAGCAAACCAAACCCCAATCAGCAAAAGAAAACAAATAATAAAGATCAGAGCAGAAGTAAATGAAATTGAAAAAAAATACAAAAGATCAACGAAATGAAACGTTGTTTTTTCTTAAAAAAAAAAAATTGAAAAACTGCTAGCCAGACTAAGAAAAAAAGAGAGAAGACCCAAATAAATAAATCTGAGATAACAAAAAGGGGGACATTACAACTGATACTGCAGAAATTCAAAGGATCATTAGAGGCTACTATGACCAACTATATGCCAATAAATTGGAAAACCTAGAAGAAATGGATAAATTCCTAGAAACATAAACTTACCAAGAATGAACCATGAAGCAATCCAAAACCTGAACAAACCAATAATAAGTAATGTAATCGAAGCCATAATAAAAAGTCTTCCAGGGAAGTAAAAAAAAAAAAGCCCAGGCCCTGAACTTTACCAAATATTTAAAGAAGAACTAATACCAATCCTACTCAAACTATTCTGAAAAATGGAGGAGGGGATACTTCTAAACTCATTCTATGAGGCCAATATTACCCTGATATCAAAACCAGACAAGGACAAGAGAAGAAAACTACAAGCCAATATTCCTGATGAACATTGATGTAAAAATCCTCAATAAAATACTAGCAAACTGAATTTAACAACACATTAAAAAGATTATTCATCATGATCAAATGGGATTTATCCCAGGGATAAATGCAAGATGGTTTAGCATATGCAAATCAATCAATGTCCTACATCATATCAACAGAATGAAGGACAAAAACTATATGATCACTTCAATTGATTCTGAAAAAGCATTTGATAAAATTCAACATCCCTTCATGATAGAAACCCTCAAAAAACTGGGTATAGAAGGAACATACTTCAACACAATAAAAGCCATATAGTACAGACCCATACCTAGTATCATAATGAATGCAGAAAAACTGAAAGTCTTTTATCTAAGATCTGAAATAAGACAAGAATGCCCACTTTCACCACTATTATTCAACATAGCAGTGGAAGTCCTGGCTGGAGTGATCAGATAAAAGAAAGAAATAAAAGGCATCCAAATTGGAAAGAAGTCAAATTATGCTTGTTTGCACATGATCTTATATTTGGAAAAACCTAAAGACTCCACCAAAAAACTATTAGTACTGATAAATACATTCAGTAAAGTTGCAAGATACAAAATCAACATACAAAAATCATTAGCATTTCTATAGGCCAAAAATGAACAATCTGGAAAAGAAATAAAGAAATCAATCCCATTTACAATAGCTACAAATACAACTAAATACTTCGGAATTAACCAAAAAATTGAAATATCTTTACAATAAAAACTTTAAAACACTGATGCAAAATTGAAGAGGACACCAAAAAAATGGAAAGATAGTCCATGTTCATGGATAGGAAGAATAAATATTCTTAAAATGTCCATGTACTCAAAGTAATCTACAGATTCAATGCAATCCCTATCAAAATACCAATAATATTCTTCACAGAAATAGAAAAAATAATCCTAAAATTTATATGGAGCCATAAAAGACCCAGAATAGCTAAAGTTATCCTGAGGGGGGAAAAAAACACTGAAGGAATCACATTACCTGACTTCAAATTATACTACAGAAATATAGAAACTATAACAGTATGGAACAGTCATAAAAACAGACACATTGAACAGTAGCACATAATAAGGAACTCAGAAATACATCCATACATCTACAACGAACTCATTTTTTAAAAAAGTGCCAAGAACATACACTGGGGAAAAGAAAGTCTTTTCTATAAATGGTGCTGGGAAAACCAGATATCCATGGATATCCATATGCAGAAGAATGAAACTAGACCCCTGTCTCTTGCCATTTACAAAAATCAACTCAAAATGGATTAAAGACCTAAGTCTAAGATCTCAACCTAAGAAACTACTACAAGGAAACTTTGGGGAAACTCTCCAGGACATTGGTGTTTCCCTAACGTTTTAATCCTTAAAGCACAGGCAACCAAGGAAAAATGGACAAATGGGATCACACCAAGTTACAAAGTTTCTGTGCAGCAAAATAAATAAGCAACAAAGTAAAGAGACTGTCCACAGAATGGATATTTGCAAACTATCCATCTGACAAGGGATTATAACCAGAATATATAAGGAGTTCAAACAACTCAATAGGAAAAAATCTAATAATCCGAATGAAAAACAGGCAAAAGATTTCAATAGACATTTCTCAAAAGAAGACATACAAATGGCAAACAGGTCTGTGAAAAGGTGCTCAACGTCATTGATTATCAGAGAGATGCCAATCAAAACTACAATGAGATAATATCATATTATCATCACCCCAGTTAAAATGGCTTATATCCAAAGACAGGCAATAACAAATGCTGGTGAGGATGTGGAGAAAAGGGAACCCTCATACACTGTTGGTGGGAATGTAAATTAGTACAACCACTATGGAGAGCAATTTGGAAGTTCCTCAAAAATACTAAAAAGAGAGCTAGTATATGATCCAGTAATCCCACTGCTAGGTATATACCCCAAAGAAAGGAAATCAATATATCAAAGAGGTATCTGCACTACTAAGTTTGTTGCAGCACTGTTTACAATAGCAAAGATTTGGAAGCCACTTAAGTGTCCATCATCAGAGGGATGGGTAAAGAAAATGTGGTACATATACACAATGGAATACTATTTAGCCATAAAAGAGAATGAGATCCTGTCATTTGCAGCAACATGGATGGAACTGGAGGTCATTATGTTAAGTGAAATAAGCCAGGCACAGAAAGACGATCTTCATATGTTCTTATGTATTTGCAGGAGCTAAAAATTGTAACAATTGAAATCATGGAGATAGAGGTGGGGAAGAGTAGTGGGGGGGAGGAGGAAGTAGGGGGTGAGGTGGAAGTGAGAGGAAATGTGTACAAAAATATAGTTAGTGGCTCACGCCTGTAATCCCAGCACTTTGGGAGGCCGAGGCGGGTGGATCATGAGGTCAGGAGATCGAGACCATCCTGGCTAACAAGGTGAAACCCCGTCTCTACTAAAAATACAAAAAATTAGCCGGGCGCTGTGGCGGGCGCCTGTAGTCCCAGCTACTTGGGAGGCTGAGGCAGGAGAATGGCGTGAACCCGGGAAGCGGAGCTTGCAGTGAGCCGAGATTGCGCCACTGCAGTCCGCAGTCCGGCCTGGGCGACAGAGCGAGACTCCGTCTCAAAAAAAAAAAAAAAAAAAAAAAAAAAAAAAATATATATATATATATAGTTAGATAGAATGAAGAAGATCTAGTATTTGATACCACAACAGAGTGGCTAAAGTCAACAATAATTTATTACACATTTTAAATTAACTAAAAGAGTATAATTGGATTGTTTGTAACACAAAGAAAGGATAAATGCTTGAGGTAATGGATACTACATTCACCCTGATGTGATTGTTGTATTGTATACCTGTATCAACATATCTCATGTACCTTATAAATACATACACCTACTATGTACCCACAATTTTCTAAAATGTCTGTTATCAAAAAGACAAAAAATAACAGACACTGGTGAGGATGCAGAGAAAGGGGAACACTAGCACCCAGCAGATGCGAATGTAAACTAGTACAGAAACAGTATGTAGTTTCCTCACAAAACTATAATTAACATATGATCCAGCAATCCTGATGCTGGGTATATAGCCAAAAGAAAGGAAATCAGTATGTCAGAGATGCATACCTATGTTTATTGCAGCATCATTCACAATAGCCAAGATATGGAATCAATCCAAGTGTTCACCACCACTGGGTTCATGGATTAAAAATGTGGCATATATACACCATAGAATAATATCTAATCATAAATAATGAAATCCTGCCATTTTCAACAGCATGAGTGAAACTGGAGGACATTATGTTAAGTGAAATAGGTCAGGCACAAAAATGCAAATATTGCATGTTCTCACTCATATGTGGGAGCTAAAAATGTTGACCTCATGGAGATAAAGAGTAGACTGATAGTTACCAGAGGCTGGAAAGGATTGGCAGGGGGTGAAGAGAGGTTGGTTAATGGATACAAAAATACAGTTAGGTAGAAGGAATAGATTTTGGTGTTCAACAGCACAGTAAGGTGACTATAGTTAATATCGGGGGAACCCGCCCCCAATATTTCAACGTATTTGGGAACTGATAAATTCCACGAAACCTTCACAATTTACGTTCCTCTGCCGCGGCTCCAGCCGGTCCCTCCGTTCGGGGTCCCTGACTTCCCACAACAAGTTAATAATAATTTAGTGTATATTTTGAAAAAGTTAGAAGATTTGGAAAGTTCTCCACACAAAGAAATGATAAATGTTTGAGATAACGGACATCCTAATTACCCTGATTTGATCATTACATGTGGTATGCAGGCATCAAAATATCACATGTACCTCATAAATATGTATAATTACTATAGATCAATTTAAAATTGTTAAAATGGTAAATTTTGTTATATTATATATATATATATAGTGGTAAAATATATATTTTTAATATATATAAAAAATATAGGCCAGGTTCAGTGGCTCAAGCCTGTAATCCCAGCACTTTGGGAGGCCGAGGCAGGCAGATCACGAGGTCAGGAGTTCAAGACCAGTCTGGCCAAAGTAGTGAAACCCCATCTCTACTAAAAATACAAAAATTAGCCAGGCGTGGTGGTGGGTGCCTGAGGTCCCAGCTATTCAAGAGGCTGCGGCAGGAGAAACACTTGAACCCGGGAGGCAGAGGTTGCAGTGAGCCGAGATCGTGCCACTGCACTCCAGCTTGGGTGACAGAGTGAAACTTTGTCTCAAAAAAATTAATTAATATAATATGTTCTATATATTTAAAAATATTTATTTTATTTTACATATAAAATATATTTTATTTTATTAATTTTATATAAAACATATATTTTATATTTTATATAAACATATATATTTATTATATGTATAAAACATATTTTTATATATTTATGTTTATATATGATAAATGATAATTTATAATAAATTTATATAATATATAAAAATATATTATAAAAATATATTATTAAAAATATAAAAATGTTTTATAGATATAAAATATATATTATACTTTTTTATATATTTTTTAACCACAATTTTTTTAAAAAGAAAACTTACATGTGTCACAGACAATGCAAATAGAGGCCGACAAGAAAGATCAGCCTGTGGGAGCCCAGCACTCTCCTCCAACGTGTGGCTGAATAGCAGTCATGAGGAAAGGATGAAGATGTGGACAATACCGGCTAAAGCAGAGTAGCCAGGTAATTCATTGGAAAGTATTTTGACATTTAATTTAACTGCAATTTCCCAAACGTATGATGCTTTCTTCTTTTAAGGGAAACAGACAATTCCATTTCCTTGACTGTTCTGTCCAGTGGAGTTTGTAACTTCTTTCCAGCTTCACTTCAGAAAGGAGATACAGATGGTATCATTTCTTTTTTGCTTGTCTTTATCACCCTTGCCAATAAATGCAGCTTCCCTTCCAAGGCACCCATGTTGCACATGTCATGCTTTTCCCACTCCTCTCTCCTTTTATTAATTTTTCTGCTGGAGACATATGGAGGGGCATGTGTTGGTGCAGGCACAGTTTTCTGTGCCACTGCCAAAGCTAAAGGTGGCTCTGAAACTTAAGGAATTAATCTTAGACCTGTCGAAGTAATTAAGAGGCTAGAATAAGTCTAAAAATGAGAAATAAGAGTGATAAGTGGCCAAACTGTAGCCTGCTAAAACCAGGAAGTAACTCAGGCCATGTTGGGGCAAAGACTCCACAAGTTAATCGGTGTCACCCACCATTAAAAATATCACAAGACTGTTCACTACGATGTTGGTTGTATTAGTGGAGAAAAAGGCTAGGAAAAATATACCTACCAATGAGAGACCCATTAAATATACAGGCATACCTTAGAGATATTGCAGGATCAGCTCCACACTGCTGCAATAAAGTGAATATCGCAGTAACAAGAGTCACACAAACTTTTTGGCTTCCCAGTGCACATAAAAGTTATGCTTATATTATACTGTCATCTATAAAGTGTGCAATAACATTATGTCTAAAAAACCATGTACATCTCTTACTTAAAAAATATTTTATTGCTAAAAAGTGCTAACAGTCTTCTAAGCCTTCAGAGAGTTCCACACTTTCTGCTGGTGGAGAGTTTTGCCTCTGTGTTGATGACTGTGGACTGATCAGGATGGCGGTTGCTGAAAGTTGGGGTGGCTGTGGCCTTTTTTAAAAATAAGACATGAAGGTTGCTGCATTGACTGACTCTTCTTTTCACAAAAGATGTCTCTGTAGCATGTTTGATGGCATTCTACACACAGTAACATGTCTTCAAAAACTAGACTTAACCCTCTCAAACCCTGCCACCACTTCATCAACTAAATTCATGTCATATTCTACGTTCTCTGTTGTCATTTCAACAATGTTCACAGCATCTTCCCCGGGAGTAGTTTCCATATCAAGAAACCACTTTCTTTGCTCTTCCATAGGAAGCAACTCCTCATTTATTCAACTTTTATCATGAAATTGTAGCAATTCAATCACATCTTCGAGCTCCACTTCTGATTCTACTTCTCTTGCTATTTCTACCACATTTCCACTACAGTTATTTCCTCCACAGACATCTTGGACCCTTCAAAGTTATCCACGATGGAATCAATTTCTTCCAAACTCCTTGCATTAATCCATTTTCACACTGCTACAAAGAACTACCCGAGACTGGGTAATTTACAAGGAAAGAAGTTTAACTGACTCAGTTCCACATGGCTGGGGAGGCCTCAGGAAACTTATAATTATGGCAGAAGGCAAAGGGGAAGCAAGCACATCTTACCACAGCAAAGCAGGAGAGACAGCAAAGTGGGAAGTGCAACATTTTTTTTTTTTTTTTGAGATAGAGTCTCCCTCTATTGCCCAAGCTGGAGAGCAGTGGTGCAGTCTGGGCTCACTGCAACCTCCGCCTCCTGGGTTCAAGTGATCTTCCTGCCTCAGCCTCCTGAGTAGCTGGGATTACAGGCACACATACCATACCTGATTAATTTTTGTATTTTTAGTAGAGACCGGGTTTCACCATGTTGGCCAGGCTGGTCTCGAACTCCTGACCTCAAGTGATCCAACTGCCTCAGCCTCCCAAAGTGCTGGGATTACAGGGGTAAGCCACCACACCCAGCCTGGAAGTGCCACTTTTAAACCATCAGATCTCATGAGAACTCACTATCACAAAACCAGCATGGGGAAAACTGTCCCCATGATCCAATCACCTCCCACCAGATCCCTACCTCAACACATGGGGATTACAATTCAAGATGAAACTTGGGTGGGGACACAGAGGCAAACCATATCACTCCCGTTAATGTTAATATTTTGACCTCCTCCCATGAATCATGAATATTCTTTTTGGTATCTAGAATGGTAAATCCTTTCCAGAAGATTTTCAATTTACTTTGGCCAGATCCATCAGAGAAATCACTATCTATAGCAGCTATAGCCCCATGAAATGTATTTCTTAAATAATAAGACTTGAAAGTTGAAATTATTCCTAGACCCATGAGGTGCAAAATGGTTGTTGTGTTAGCAGGTGGGAAAACAACATTCATCTCCTTGTACGTCTGCATCAGAGTTCTTAAGTGACTAAGTGCATTGTCAGTGAGCAGTAATATTTTGAAAGGAATCTTTTTTTTCTGAGCAGTAGGTCTCAACAATAAGCTCAAAGTATTCAGTAAACCATGCTATAAACAAATATGCAGTTACCCAAGCTTTGTTGTTCTATTTATAGAGCACAGGCAGAGTAGATTTAGCATAATTCTTAAAGGCCCTAGGATTTTCAGAATGGTAAATGAGCATTGGCTTCAACTTAAAGATGCCAGCTTCATAACTTCCTAACAAGACAGTCAGCCTGTGCTTTGAAGTTTTGAAGCCTAGCATTGACTTCTCCTCTCTAGTAGTGAAAGCCCTGGATGTCATCTTCTTCCAACAGAAGTCTTTTTCATCTGCATTGAAGATCTGTTGTTTAGTGTAGCCACCTTCATTAGTTATCTTAACTAGATCTTCTGGATAACTTGGTGCAGTTTCTCCATCAGCACTTTCTACCTCACCTTGTACTTTTATGTTATTGAGACAGCTTCTTTCCTTAAACTTCATGAACCAACCTCTGCTAGCTTCCAACTTTTCTTCTGCAGCTTCCTCATCTCTCTGGGACTTCATAGAATCGAAGAGATTTAGGATCTTGCTCTGGATTAGGCACTGGCTTAAGGGAATGTTGTGCTGGTTTTATCTTGTATCCAGACCACTCAAACATTCTCCACATCAGCAGTAAGACTGTTTTGCTTCCTATCATTTATATTCACTGGAGTAGCACTTACAATTTAATTCAAAAACTTTCCCTTTGCATTCACCAGTTGGCTAACTTTTTGGTACAATGGGCCTGGCTTTTAACCTATGTAGGCTTTCAACATGCCTTCCTCACTAAGCTTAATTATTTCTGGGTTTGATTGAAAGTGAGAGACATGCGACTCACCCTTTCACTTGAACACATGGAGGCAATTGTAGGGTTATTAATTGTCCTAATTTTAATACTGTGTTTCTCAGAGAATAGGCAGGCCTGAGGAGAGGGAGAGAGATGAAGAGCAGCTGTCACTGGGGCAGTCAGAACACACACAACATTGATCAATTTAGTTCATCATCTTATATGAGTGCAGTTCATGGTACCTCAAAACAATTACAAAATAACGTCAAAGCTCACTGGTCACAGATCAACATACCAGATACAATAATAATGAAAAAGTTAGAAACATTGCCTCCTCCTGGTTCTCACAGTCCCATGTCAGTGGTACACAGGCTGGATTTCAGCCCTTTGGACACATGATCAACTATAATTAGCCCAAATCCATACAATGCAATGCATAGAACCATTAAAAAAGAAAGACCTTCAAGATACATTTTTAAGTGAGAAAGAAAGATATAGAAGAGCTACTTTTACATACAAGTATATGCATGAGATATTTCTGGAAAATATGCAAGAAATAGGGTATCTTAAATGATACCCATTTAATGGTAGTTACTTAAATGATAACTCTGTGGCTTGGAGTTTCAGGCTACAAGTGAGTGGGCTTTGGAAAATGGAATAGGAAGCCAAATGTGCTGGCTGGGGCAGTAATAGTGAGTTTTTTCCTCCTTCTCTTCCTCCTTCCTTTCTTCCTTCTTCTCTTTCTTTTCTTCCTCCTTTTCTTCTTTCTATGTGTGTGTGTGTGTGTGGTGTTTTATTTATTTATTTATTTATTTATTTATTTATTTACTTTGGTTACATGACCTTGCATGCATTGAATTGGAGATCACACGATCTCTGTTCATGTAATGTCCCTTATTTTCTGGGATAGGGCAAATATTTCTGGGACAGGGGAAATATTAAAAGCCCACAGCCAGGGACCTGGATCTTTCTGACTCAAGAGTATCCCTGACAAGGATTCACAAAGGTGAGGTCTTGCTGTGGTTCATATCCTTTAAAATTACCTACAAATATCTGAGGAAAATCTAGAAGAGCTACTGGGATGGCATCTTATTAAGTAATACCTCTGCTTTATAAAGACACATCATCTAATCAATACAAATAAGGCATTTGTTGAGTGCTTACAATATGCTAGATGCTGGTATAGTTAATGATACCATACAGTGGGAAATTTCTCTAGTGTAAAATCTTTGGTTCTGTCTTTTTCTTCCATTATGGTTTCTGTTTCTTTTTTCTTATGCCCTTAAACATTTTAATACAGTAAAAGGTCTCACTTTCACCCCTGATCTCCCACCTACAGACATGCAGAGGTAATCATTCTTCTGAGTACATATATCCCTCTTAATTGTTAGACAATCAATATGTATACTCCTGCTTTTCCCTTTCTAAACATAAGTGATAGTGCACCATACACTGTTCTATTCATCTTACTTTTTCTCTCTCACACACAAACATACATGCAAACTTTAGCTTTGAGTTCATTTCATATTCACACATAGAGAGCTTGCTTACTCTTTTTTTACAGTTGCATTTTATTACTTTGAATGGATATGCGTAACTATTTTAATTAACCAGTTTCCTATTGATGACCATTTAGGTTATTTCCATTCTTTTGCACTTACAAACAAATGTCATTATTACATTATGGATAAGTGATTTCACACGTGGGTATAAATATAGCCCTAACTAAATTCCTAGAAAAATAATTACTGGGTTATAGATTATATACATTTGTAGTATTCGTAGATATCAGAAAAACTGCTCTAAATTCATAGATATCAGAGAAACTGCTTTAAAATTGCTCCAAATTACACTTTCACCAATAGATAGTTCTGTTTGCTCCAGCACCATCAACAAAATGTTATCAAAATTTTAATTTTTGCCCATATCATTGCTGAAAACTGGTATATAAGAACATTTTAATTTTTGTTTCACTTTATTAGAAGTATAGTTAAGGATCTCAATATTTAAGATATGTTTTGCTTCTCTTTTTATGAACAGTTCACATCTTTTTGCTCATTTTGCTGTTGAGTTAGTTGTTAATCTTTATTTTAATTTTTAGGATCTCTTTTCATATTAGAAAAATTAAACCTCTGTTCTGTGATATGAGTTGCAAATTTTTTTACAATTTGTTGCTCCTCTTTTGACTTTACTTATAGTGGTTTTTGCCATGCAGAAGTTTGGGGTTTTTAAAAAAAGTTATCGAATGTATTAATCTTTTATGTCTTCTGGATTTAAAATAATTGGTAACAAGACTTCTCATATATTATTTTAGTTGTTTATGTTTTATACTTTACCTTACACCTTTGATCAATTTGGAGTTTATTCTGGTACAAGTCTGAAGTATAGATCCATCTTGTCCTTCTCCAGATGGCTAATCAGTGCTCTCAGAACCATTTATCAAATAGTCCAGTTTTTTCTCTGCTAACTTGGTATGCTGGATATCACAGATCAGCAAACATTTTCCATAAAGGGCTAGATAGCAAATATTTTAGACTTTCTAGATCCCTGTCCCAATTGTTCAATTCTGCCATCATCATGCAAAAACAACCATAGATGATTCATAAACAAATGAGTGTGTCTGTATTTCAATAACATTTTATTTGCAAAAGTAGGCTGAAGGCTGGTTTTGACCTGTTGACCATAATTTTCCAACCCTTGCCATCTATTCAATTCTCATATGTACTTTTTTCTCTGGCCTGTATGCCTATATATAGGCCAGTACTACACTGTTTTATTTACTGAAATTTTGTAATATGCCTTATTATTCATGACAGTTAATTTTATGTGTCAATGTGGCTGGGCCAAATTGTGGTCCAACATTGTTCTAGGTGTTTCTGTGAAAGTATTTTTTGAATATTTTAACTTCTAAATGAGTAGACTTTGAGTAAAGCAGATTACTTTCCAAAATGTGGGTGGGCCTCCTCCCATCACTTGAGGGCCTTTAATAGAACAAAGACTGACTCCCCACCCCCACCCCACATTTCCTTAGAGCAAGAAGAAATTTTGCCAGAAGACTGCCTTTGGACTCAAAACTGCAACTCTTTCCTGGGTCTCTAGCCTGCCAGCCTACCCTAAAGATTTTGGATTTACTAAGCCGCAACAATCACCTAAGCCAATTCCTTAAACTCTCTCTCTCTCCCCCTCTCTCCATACACAAACATACACACATAGTTTGTTCTGTTTCTTTGGAGAACCTGTTACACTATCTGATAGGCTAGTCTTCCTTCATTGATCCAGAGTTTTCCTTATTATTCATGTTGTTATTTTTCCATGTAAATTCATAAGGAGCTAGTCTAGTTAAAATTAAAAACTGATACTTGTTATTGGAAGGCTATTCAATGTATAACTTTATAACACATTTTAAATTTATAACTTGTAAATTTAAGGAGAATTGAAATCTTTATAATATTGAATCTTTCTGTGATTGAGGCTTATTTTATATCTTCTAGGGGTATTTTATATTTTTTATGCTTATCCAAACATTTTATGTTAAGATTCCTGTGTTGTCTTTTTGAATATCATCATAAATGATATATTTTGCCCACTAAAAATTTTGTTTACTGATTGTTTGCATACAGGAAAGCTATTAATTGCCAAATACTCATTTTGTCCCACACAACAGTTTGAAATCTAATGACATTCAACATCATTAGTCATCAGTGAAATACAAATTAGAATGACAATGAAATACTACTACATAACTTTTAGAATGGCCAAAATAAAAAAGGCTGACAATATCAAGCATTGGTGAAGACATGAAACAACAGCAGCTCTCAAACATTGCTGGTGGTTATGTAAAATGATAAAACCACACTGGAAAGTTGCTTTGCAGTTTCTTAACTACATATGACCCAGCCATTATAAATGAAAAGCCTGTGTTGGTATGGTTCACCAGATACATGAAAGCATATGTTCGTACAAAGACTTATATACAAGTGTTTATAGCAGCTTTAGTTGCAATAGCTAAAAACTGGAAACAACCTAAATACTTATCAAAAGATGAGTAGCCACAATTTGTGGTATGTCTGTAAAATGGAATACTAATGAGCAAAATACACAGAGCAATATAAATGAACTTGAATGTAATTATGCTACACAAAAGAGGCCAAAGAGGAATACATAGTGTATGATTCCATTTATATATAATTCTAGAAAATACAGGCTGACAAATCAGGTAAATGATGTTTTGGGATGGGGGCATGGGCAGACGGGATGGTAGGAAGCAATTTATAAAGGGGCACAAGGAAACCTCAGGAAGTGATAGATATGTTCATTATCTTGATTTTGGTGATGGTTTAACTGGTATAGACATATTGCTTTCATCTCACTACATTTATAAAACTTGTCAAATTCCATATTTTAAACCTGTGCAATTTATTATATATCAACTGTACCTCAAACAGCAGCAGCAACAACAACAACAAGAACCATTATTTATTTTTTGGTGATGGTGATGGTGTTATGTTTTGGCTTAGTCAATCCATAAGTCTTTAGATTGAGCAGTTTTACTAATCTGGGCCAAGCTCATCACTCTGCATGTGTGATCAGTGATGAGTCACCAGTGGTCTAGTGTTCTAGCATGGACTGAGATAAGACAATTCGGATAGTTCTCTGTGGTCGCTCATCCCCTGCAATTTAGCTCAAGCTCATTCTCATGGAAGTCACAAGGGTCCAAGAGGAAAAGTGGAGTCACATAAAGACTCTTGAGGTCTAGGCTTCAAATCATCACATCACATGTGCTAAGAGAAATCAGAAGGCCATGGCCATTTCAGACTCAAGGGGTGAGTAAATATATTTTATCTCTCTTTTTTTTTTTTTTTTTTTTTTTTGAGATGGAGTCTTGCTCTGTCACCAGGCCAGAGTGTAGTGGTGCAATCTCTGTTCGCTGCAACCTCCGCCTCCCGGGTTCAAGAGATTCTCCTGCCTCAGCCTCCTGATTAGCTGGGACAACAGGTGCATGCCACCACGCCCAGCTAATTTTTTGTGTTTTTAGTAGAGACGGGTTTTCATCCTGTTGGCCAGGATGGCCTCGATCTCTTGACCTTGTGATCTGCCCGCCTTGGCCTCCCAAAGTGTTGGGATTACAGGTGTGAGCCACCACACCCAGCCTATTTTATCTCTTGATGGGAGGAACTTTAAAGTCATATTTCAAAGGGTGTGGGTACAGTAAAGAATACGGAATCATGGTCATTTTTACAATTAAGGCACCATACTCATTAAGTAGCAGGAATGGATACATACTATCCTCATTACAACTCAAATTGTTAGGTAGAATCCTGATTTTGAAGATGAAGAAACAGGGCTGGGGAGAAGTTAAGAAATATGCCCAAAGCCCATAGCCAAACAGTTGCAGAGGTGGGATTGGAGCTTACTCTGACTAAATCCACAGCACCTGCTCTTAGTAGCTATGTGTCACTACTTCTCCTTACTGCTAGACTGATCATTCCAAAAGTGATGACCTATCTGCCTAGGAGTCCAGGCCTCCTGGATTCCTCCATCTAAATGCCACTTCAGAAAAATGCACCAGAAATGGTTTCACAGATCAAATAGATAAGATAGGGATGAGGGGCTTTCTCTATTCCTAGCGTCTATGAATCAAACTTTACACAGGTAATAAATTTCAGTTTAAGGATGATATCTCTGAAGCAGTCTGAATTTCAACCACAACCAATAAAAACTTTGTTGTATATTCAAAGGTTGCAAACTAAATGTCCAAAGTCATTTTACAATGCATGAAAAAGATTGCCCTATTTAAAAAATTCACTACAACTATTTGATCTACTGAAGGTTGATTATTACCATCATCTACCTGTTTCTACTTATTTGTATAGGCAAATTCCAGGTCATTTATGGATTGTGTTCCTAAAGTTCATATGTAAGTCAATGACCTAGAAATCAGATTGCAGTTTTTGTAGAAATAAAATAACAAATACTTTCAGGGTTGTCTATTAAAGCCCATTTAACACATAATGGCTGAAATATAGTACGAAGAATGAAAGAGTACTTCTCTACAGTTTTTTAAAAATAAAATGCTTCTGAATAAAATGCCTGACAAGATCCAATTCAGTAGTCCATGAGTAGAATTATCTCCATGTCCTTTAAAAATGGAAGAGAGCAATATAACACATATAAACTAAGTCACTTGCTTTAGAAGACAAAGTAAACTGTAGTCATACTTGGTTTTAAATAATTATTGTTTTCATCTCACTTACACATATAAAGGACAGTCAGACAACCTATGCATTAAAAAAATATTTCCAAAGGCAAAATATAGTTCAGATTTTCTACACTGTCTTAGTGTATTCAGGCTTCCATAACAAGATACCATAGAGTGAGCTGCTTAAACAACAAAAACTATTTTCTCACAGTTACGGATGCTGGGAAGTTTAAGATCAAGGTGTTGACTATTTTGGTTCCTCATAAGTGCTCTTTTCCTGGCTTGCAGACAGCCACCTTCTGATTGTGTCCTCACATAACAGAGAGAAAGAAACCCTTCTCTTCGTATAGGCCAAAAATCCTATTAGATTAAGACCTTACCTTTATGACCTAATTTAACCTTAATAACCTAGAAGTTTTATCTCCAAATACAGTCATATTAGGGACTGGGCTTCGACATATGAATTAGGGGAGACACAATTCACTCTACAGCACTAACACTGAAAATCAGAGTCGGCTCCAAATTTTAAGCCCTATTCTCAAAATTTTCTAATGGCATCTCATCCCACTCATAAGAAGCCAAAGTCATTAAATGTCCCATAATACTAAGCATGATTTACTCTAGGCCTCTCTTCTCTGTGGCTTGATAACCGACTACTTTCCCTCACTTCATTCCAACTAATTCTTACCTCCACACTGTTTCCCAAATACAATAAGCACAGAGGCACTGCCTCAGGGCCCTGCCCTCCATAGCCATCTCATTTAACATAGCAACCACCATTCTCCTCCTACCACTGGCCTTGCCCCCTACCACTCTTTCTTATTTAATCTTCTCCATTTAATTTTTCACAGTTAAATATATTGTGCAATTCATTTATTATTTCTTTCTTTTTTTTCTTTTTTTGAGACGAAGTCTCACCTTATCAACCAGGCTGGAGTGCAATGGCACGATCTTGGCTCACTGCAACCTCTGCCTCCCAGGTTCAAATGATTCTCCTGCCTCAGCCTCCCGAGTAGCTGGGATTACAGGTGCCCACGACCACACCCAGCTAACATTTGTATTTTTAGTGGAGACGGGGTTTCACCATGTTGGCCAGGCTGATCTTGAACTCCTGACCTCATGATCCGCCCGCCTTTGTCTCCCAAAGTGCTGGGATTACAGGTGTGAGCCGCCGCACCCAGCCCTCACTTATTATTTCTTTGTCATCTCACCAATACCAGCACTAACATGTCAACTCCATGACCGTGGGGATTTCATATCTTTTATCCTTTCTGTAGGACTCCACACCTCTGGGTTCCAGAACTCTGCATGAACAAATTTCTAAGTTATTTCGCAATCTACTTATTTACACACAGATTTCTTCCATATGTATATTTTTTATTTGACTGCCTCCTTTAAGTCTTCTGCATACATAAAATAAACCTTGTTCTCTTTGGCAAAAGATTTATCTGAAAATAACTAATGAGCCATCAGAATTGCAGATAGAACATTTACTGTCGCAATGGTTGGTGCAACAACCTTTCAAATAATTCTTGGTTTTCAAATCATTCTCAAAAAATTCATGTTTTCTATATTGCTGTAGAATGGCATAAATATGTTTGAGGCTGTTCTCCAATCAATACTCATTTGGGTTGTACAACTGTGTAATGTTTTAGCACCCTGTAGAATTATATCTGCTGTCAATAAAGTAGCCATTCATGAATAGCCTGTATTGTATTATTTCAACCTAAAATTACATCTAGTATGCAAAAGATCCAGTTCAATAATTTTTGTCATTTGATTTCATTAAATTAAAATTTTACTACTTCTTTAAATCTGCTTTTTATCAACTAACCTAGATAAAAACCAACCCTCATCATTGTCATGAATAAATCTATATTATTTCTTCCAAATATTTTTAGTATAGCAACTCTGTCATTCGTTGGTGTCATTTCTGTAATGCAGCTCTGCTCATGTGTTGCTGTCTTAATATCCATTCACTCTGATTTTGAATTCATTGGATCTGGTTGAGCAGACACTGTGGCTTCCAATCCAGCTGCTAATGGTGCCAAATTGAGAAATGGTTTTGCAAGGCGTATAAAATCAGAGGTGGGATACGAATTCAAATTTCTTTTCAACTTAGCTTGGGAGCTGGAGAAAATATATTATGTTCTGCATATATTCTCATACCAACCATCTACATTGTATGAATTTGGTATTTGACGTAAGTCCTCCCCACCCCTTTTGATTGTGCATCACTCAGAATGCAACCCTGAGTTGACAGATTCTGAAGCATTCTCCTTTGTAAGGCTCTGCTGAATTCTGGAAATGAGACCACAAATGTACTTTAAAATCCTTTTAAAGTTAAATAAATTTGTATTGTAACTCACAGTGTGTCTTTGATAATTACTTAGGGCAGAGATTCAAAAAAATATGGAAATGATACTTTAGCAGCAACATCAAAAATCTATGGAAATAGAATTTACATTGAGTAGCTGCCTGCTGTGCCTATTCTCAGCCTCACATGTAATACAAATGTGAACAACACTCATACCCTGACTCAAGGAAATTATAACCTACACATATATATTAAAAAGTATCCTACAAGACAAAATATGGCAAGTGTCATAAAAATTGTATTCTGTTGGTGCTGATATTGAGCAAACAACGAATAAATGAATGAATATTATAAACTTTCCCATAAACTTTGTAACTTGCTTCCAAGAGATCTGACTCTTCTTAAAAAGTTTCTGCCTATACAGAATATAAAAATGTGGAATGTGTGCTCAACTGTGTGAAAGTAATTTACTCATCCTTAAGTAAAAACATTTTCAGTTCATCATTTCAGCATGTGGAAGTTCTCTCTCCAATTTTCTTGCAATTATTTTCATTGCTATTCTTTAGTAACTCTAGGAACTCACAGAGCAGCAATAAATTATATATACTTTTTGTTCTCATTTATCTTCATAAGAAAAGTTAATCCTGTCCTTTTCCGTCTAAAACAAGTTTGTTATTAAATAAAAGTCACATAATAAAGAGATTATAAATATGTTTGATAAATATTTCAGCATGTCTTACTATCATCATATTTTCAAAAAGGATTACTTTAATCTCTACATTAAAACATAAGAGATTGAGGCAAAGCCCCAAGAATTTTATCTCAGATAATAAAATAGACAAAAACAGAGAAATTTCAGAAACAGTAAATCAATAAAAACATCTAGGGCATAGAATGTAAGTCTATTTTCATGGAAATGCTTTTTATTAAAAAAAGACAAAATTCTTAATTCTCTTAGTATAGAATTATAATGAAGTTAGAAGTACTTGGATAATATCCACTTAAGTATTTGCCAGTTTATACATTATTTTTAAGCATTAGAATATTTTAAATCTACCTTTCAAAAACCTCACATTTCTTTAGAGATGCAGGGTGTCTCCTGGAGATTTGCTTATTGTTTGAAAGCCCCTTCATCTGCCAGTATGTACCATTTTACTGGTTATAAATTAAACTGTACACTCTGAGAATCTGCACACATCAGGGATTTTATAAATAATCACCTGCTTTCAAGCACCACCATGGCTGTAAATACTGTGATGGATAGGGTGGCATATTTTGAGAAAAGTCAAAACCATAGCATTTGATTGATCAACATCTGGATTCTATCATTGCTGACCTATACTTTGATGTCACAAATTAAAGGTAAGATGTCATTTAAACCAAGAAGCAGAGACCAGTTATATCTGTCTTCAAATATTTGAAAATTTGTCAGGTTGAAGATGAGTTAATTTCAATCCAAGGTTGTAGTGAGCCACACTTGGACTAGAAGAAGGATCAGGAAGGTAGATTTCAGCTCAAATTCAGGAAAGGCTTGAATTAGAACCAACTGGAAATGGAATAGCTCACCTTATGGGGTAGGCATTGCTGGTCTACTGATGTGTGTAACCATTTATTAAGACGTTATAAAAGAATCAGAGCACAAATTTTAGATAAAAGTTATCCAAGTACCACTTTCCGCATCTCAGGGCCCCTTGCACTTCATGAGACTCTAGTCTATGAACAGTGCTATTCACCACTAACCTAACTTATATTTTATATTTGTTCAACATGAATTGATAAATTTACATTCATCCCACATATTGAATAAAGCAGCTCTTGGTAACATCAAATTTCCAACCAATTTCCATGGGTAAATAAATGCCCTTGGAAGTGGTGTCTTTGATGAACTAGAAAATGTTAGCAGAAGTTACAGAGGACCATGGACACAGAGAAATGAGATAAAAGGCCAAAGGCCAAAGGCCAAAGGTAGATAAGGAAATACAGGAATGTACTACTATTCTGCTAGCAAGTTCCAAGAACTCACCCTTTTCCCTGTTTCTCTTGATAAATTTATAGGGCAAACTTTGACAGCACCAATAATCTCTCCACCATCAATGTTCAAGGTGAAGAGTTGTTGAGGTCACTGAAGGCCAAAAAGAAGACATTTTCGTGTAGTTAAGTGGCAGATTAATAGAATGTTTTGACACAGCTACTCCAATAGTGTCACATTGACTGATATGAGTCAGAACTTAAAAACGTGATTTTTAAAATTACAAATAATTTCTGCAGTGATATTTCTAACCATTACCTTGTGAAAGAGCCTCATTTCACCCTTCATCCTAACTTGCCCCTAATCCACACTCCATCCCTCACCCATCCCTGAGTGTCCAGCACCTCAGTGAGAGATGGAGTAAGACACAGAGTATGGCTCTGGAGTTGAATGGAAAGCACAGGTTGAATGAAGCTCAAGGACAGAATGAGGTTTGGTGTGGATTATGCAAGGGATGGGGTGAGGAACAGGACAAATCAGAAGAATAAAGTGAAGCTACTAATAGACACATAATAATTTATTTTAAAAAAAACTAATATAGATGTAAAGGTCCCTATTTCAAGCAATGTCTAAATCCACTCCCAACCTACTCATGTAGGGATACTTACATTGGCAGAGCCTTTTGCTGGCACCTCTGGAAACTCTGTAGTCCCTTCCAGAATGTGCACCACTAAGAGGGTGGCTGAGACATGACATCTTATCACTAGACCTACTAGAAGAGGCATACCAGGAGGAGAAGCAGCTCATTCACTCCACTTCCTGAAAACAAATGGGTCTTAACTACTGCGGTATTGGGTAGATTTGCCACTTAAGTTGTCAATACTGGCGAGTTCCTGTCTTTGGGGAAATATAGCACCCTGTTGTTGCTTATGTGGTTTCACAGAATACCATTACTCCTCTTACAAGGACTCTGCGCTATATAATATTAAAATAAATGAAAATTAAGTAGGATTGGAGTCTTGCGAATTTCGCAACATGCTTTGACCTAAGTAGAGAGATGCTAAATTGCATGCTTGGGGATTCAGTTAGTGATAGTAACTGAATCTGTAGGAACACAAAGAGGTATTGTTCTTTGTCTTATTCACTGCCTAATTAATACAGGATACCAGAGAAAGGAGTGAGCAAGAAATAAGAAAGAATGGAAGGCTAAGAAAATGAATCCAGTTATTGTAGGATTCGTTTACGTCTAGAGCAGTCAACCGTCAATGAACAGTGTCCAGAGAAGTCTTGTCACTTTGGACCTCCTTCTTGCAGTTGGCACCTTGCAAGGAGATCTAAGTTTGTGTGAGAGCTTAGGTGAAGGGATGGAAGTGGACATGATAAATAAATTTCAACTGACTTTCATGAGTTTCATAATTGAAAAGCATTCACATCTTGAAATCAAAGAGCAGATGGAATTTACGGAAATTCAGCTGACCTGACATAATGCACATTATTCTTCAAGATCCTAATAATTATTAATAAAATATAAATGAATTTTAGTAACATATCCATAAAGTTTACTATTAGCAAGATTAAATACCTAATGTTTCTTAGATACACTATGTGATTCCAAGAATTACACTTTTGAATTGTCCACACTCGACGGGTTTTTAAAGGTCTGAATAGATAAAGTCAAAATCTGTCCCTGGAAATTGTGAATGGTACTCAAACAGCTAAATGTATGAGAAACTAGATTCTTTTGATTATGAGAGTATATTTGTATCCAGTGGTGCAATATGTAAATGTAATGTGCAATGATGATTTCTATTTATTTCAGGGCTCACATATTATATTATAATAAAGTACATACCATAATATATATCACATTTTGTATTACACATATTACATGTTTATAACTGTATTATATGAAACATGTATATATTATGTAATGTATATTATAATAAAATCACATTATAACATACTTATTGTATTATGTTCTTCTACATGATTGCAATTTACAATCATTTATGTGTGTTCTTCTATTTCTTTAGTCCTGTGAAGTTTTTCTCTTCTTGTTCCAAGTCACTGTTCTTTCTTCATCGAAGTTTTTCTACAGTGTGATGAACTTCTTTTAGACTTTTGATGTATTTGATCTGTCCTTTAATATTTTATTAGCATTTATTTTAGGTAGTCTCAAGTTCTCAGGGTTAGGCCATTTTATAGTTCTTTAAACGTTTAAATACTTCATTGCATAAGTAAACACTGAAAATACCAAAAATTCTTTTAGTAAAAAATCTTCATCAACACATGTAATTTTTATAAACATGCTTAGAGATTATTTTAAGTTCAAATTATATGGCATCTATTAAATTTTGAGCTTATTACTCAGAAATTTACACAATTCTTAAAATGATCATTACCTACTTCTCACCCTTTGATATCAATATTTATAAGTTACCAGGCCCGGTGGCTCATGCCTGTAATCCCAATACTTTGGGAGGCCAAGGCATGTAAATTGCTTGAGGCCAGGAGTTCAAGACCAGCCTAGGCAACAGAGCAAGACCCTGTCTGTAAATAAATAAATCAATTTATAAGTTCTTAGATGTGGCTTTCACATACCACCTAAGGCCCATTCTAATAAGATGATCTTATAAAAACCACACAGTTAAAAACCAAAAACCACCACAGTTAAATCCTGGAGAAGCAGGTCTAAGGTTTGTGTTGTTTTTTATCTTTCATTGTAATTGAAAGATAACATCCACCTCCAGGTATAAAAGACTGACAAAGGTGGGCTAACAGCATTCCAATGGGGAAAAAGAGTGTGACGCAGGGTATGTAAGGAAAGCACCATGTTGAGTGGCCTCATCCAGCTTTTAAAGCTTTTCCTAAGTACAATGAAAAATAATTCTATGGTAACACAACTACACTCAGATACCACTGACTGGCAAAATTGAGGTGCTGAGTGTACCTCCTGCCTTCATCAAAACTGGCTCAAAATCTGAACCAGGCTATGCTTCCTGGGGGAAGGTGTCAGAAACTACAGTAGATGGAACTGGGGAAAGTAGACACTGATAGATCTAGGCAAAACGATCATGTCAGAGAAGATTTGGTGATAATCAATTTTTAAAATTTGCTTCGCAGAAATGAAGTCCTGACCCACTCATCGATGAGATCTTTGCAAAACATGATCCTAAGACTTCTCTAATCCTTCCCTCCTCCTCTCCACTGCATTTCCTATCACCTTACCCACTCCAGAGTTCTATAGAAAAGGATCAGGCTGTGGGTTGAAATATTGTCTTATTACTTTTAATATTAATATGTTATGAATATAGTGCATCCCATTGGTCTGCAGTAAGATTTTTTTTCAATATTAGTTCAATTCATGGGGGTGTTCAGCTTGTAAAATTATGAATCAAACCCCTTGAAATATTAATGGTAAAAAATTCAATGTGTATTCATGGTGGTTATATATAAGGGACTGTCAGATCCCAACCCCAATATGTGTGCTTACTGAAAACACATTCTCAAATGAATAGAACTCAAGATCATAAGTTCTACTAATTTTAATGCTCCCAAGATGAGTGAGAATGTTTAAAGAGAAAGGCTCATTTGCTTGGATCCTTGGCTCTGGAAGTTGTTTTAAATTAGTGAAATTGGTTGTCTTGAAATGTTTAAGTTGATGTAGAGTTTTCCTTCCACTTCTGAGGATTCTTCCCACTGATTTAGGAGGTTTTCATTTTATTCTATTATTAAATAAAAATTTGCCCTCTATAACTTAATATTTTTAAGTGAATATGCATGATTTGCCTAGCTTTAGTCAGTTCAAAATGATATATAAACTATTATAGGCTGAATTTCATTCGTGTTCTGATTTCTCTATGAGATGCTGTATCTCCCCACTGTTCAAACCTAAAATATTATGTGGCAATAAATATTTAAGAGGACAAATTCCATAGAAATTTTGGTTCACCGAATTCACCACAACTAAAGAAAATATTACAATAAATATGCATTAAGATACAATTCACCAAATCCTAGAATATTAAACATTCACAAATGCCCCTAAAGTTTACATAAAACATTCTTATATACTAGAATAAGTTGTGAAATTTATCATCCAGAGAAATAGCACAAGCAAAAAAATAAGCTGATGTACAGAAAAAGCTGTTTTATAATCACTAATTCTTAACTTTCCACTCACAGTTAAATTCAGATAAATGTGGCTCTGCAAATAGATATCTATTTTGATGTTAAAGGAAATGTAATATATTTGGGCATGAGATTTTGCTGGTCTTCTTTTACTCATCCAATAACTTATTCATATATATGCATAGCATGTGTGTATCATATATATTCATATATACAGCATTTCTAATGTTTCAAGCACTGTGTTGGCCCTGAAAAGCACAATAGACGTGTTTTACATGTCTAGAGCTGACTGTCCAATTCAGTACTAGCTGCTATTCATTTGTGGCTGAGTACTTGAAATGTAGCCAGTCTGAATAGAGATGTGTTGTGAGTACAAAATATACACCAGACAGATTTAGGAGACTTTGTACCCCCCAAAAAAGCAAAACCTCTCAGTAATAATTTTCATATTGATTTCATGTTTAAATGATAATATTTTGCATACATTCAGTTAAATAAAATATGCTATTATACTTAACTTCACTTGTTTCTTTTCACTTTTTAATGTGGCTGCTAGAAAATTTAAAGCTATATATGTGGCTCTCATTACATTTCTATTGCATAGCACTGGCATAAAGAAAACTGACGATAAACTAGAAAATAAAAAATAAATATAAAATTTATTTTGTATAGAAAAATTATTCTGAATTTGATGATCAGAAAGCCAGATAGAGTATGTAGTAGGTTGAATAATGGCCACCCAAAGACATCAAGTCATAATCTCTGAAATGTGTTAATGTTCTTATTTGGGAAAAGGGTCTATGCAGATGTGATTGAAAAAAGGATCTTGAGTTAAGATTACCTCAAATTATCTGGTGGCCCAAAATGCCATCACAAGTACTCTTTTTACTTCTTCTTCTACATAACTTATTTTGCTCAGGGTATAATTAAGGGAAGGACTTGGCACTTATGTTTGAAAGAGGGTGTGGAACTCATCAACACATTTTGAATATTCATCCATTCAGGTTTCTGTGTCTGAATAAAGATACTAGTTAAGATTTCGTTCATGCACATGAAATGCAGCCTGAAGAGGCTCAATTCACAATTATCACAGTTTATACCTTGTTTATATCTTTCCTCTTCATCCTATGATATAATGCAAGACCGCTTCATACCACCTCAAAAGAAGGAACCCCAAGGTATCTAAAGAGAAAAAAGTTGTGCTTTTTAATCATTTTAAAATGTGAAGTGTAGGGTGCAACTGAGTTTTTTCCTTTTATTTTTAGTAGAAACATAATACCTGTACATATTTATGGGATACAGGGTGATATTTCAATACATGTATACAATGGTCATCGCAAGTATTCTTATATGAGAAAAGCAAAGAAAGATAACACAAACAGAAGGTGGGAGGCAATGTGACCATGGAGGCAGAGACTGGAGTGATGCAGCCACAAGTCAAGGAATGCTGACAGTGACCAGAAGCTGGAAGAGGCAAAGCATGGATTCTTCCTTAAAGCTTCTGGAAGGAGTATGTCCCTGCCAACACCTTCATTTTGGACATCTGCCCTCAAGAACTGTGAGGGAATAAGATTCTGTTGTTTTAAGCATTCTAGTTTGTGGTAATTTGTTATAGCAGCCCCAGGAAACTAAGACAGAGAATAACAGTGGAAAGAGGTGGTTTGCAGTGGCATTTAGAATAAGTGGGGAGAAGAACACACTTGAATAGAATGACCAGGAAAAATCTGAGAAAGCCACTAGACTGAGATTTAAACAGTGAGAAGATATTAACCATTTAAAGAGCCTTGGGAGAGCATTCTAGTCATAGGAAAGAAGATATAGGCAGGCTCTGAGATGGGGAAAATCTTCACCTCTTCTAGGAACGGAAAGAAGGACAGAGTGTCTGAAACATGGTGAGCAAAGGAGAGTGTGGCTCAAGTGGAAAATAGGTGAGCAGGAGGTGCTATGCAGGTCCATTTTGTTGTGAGGAGGAGTATGGATTTTGTTTTAATTATACTAAACTTTATTAAGCAGAAACGTATCATTGTTAGATCTACATTTACAGGAAGACTTCTGTAGCTGATTGGTAGATGCTATATTGAAAGACAGCAAGTTGAGAAGTGGGAAAATCAATTAGGAAGCTGTTGCAGTAGACCAGGCAATAGAAGTAGATAATCTAGGCTGAGCGCAGTGGCTCATGCCTGTAATCCCAGCACTTTGGGAGACTGAAGTGGGCAGATCACCTGAGGTCAGGAGTTCAAGACCAGCCTGACCAACATGGTGAAAGCCCATCTCTACGAAAACACAAAAATTAGCCGGGCATGATGGCAGGTGCCTGTAATCCCAGCTACTCGGGAGGCTGAGGCGGGAAAATCGCTTGAACCCAGGAGGCAGAGGTTGCGGTGAGCCAAGATTGTGCTATTGCACTCCAGCCTCGGTGACACAGCGAGACTCTTATTAAAAAAAAAAAAAAAAGTAGATAATCTGGACAAAGGTGGTGGCAGTAGAGATGGTGAAAAGCAGAACCTGAGATACATTATGAGGACTATATATGAGAAATTCCATGAATTGAGTGCAGTGAGCAAGAGTACCCCAAATAAAGTAAAATTCTCAGGTTTCTGACTTGAGCAACTAAATAGATTGTTGAGATGAAGAAGACTGAGAGGGGAGCAGTTTCACAAAAATATTATGAGTTCGGTTGCGATAATATTAATTTTTGAAGTGTTTGGTGTACACCCAAGTGTATAAAACCAGAGATATATGTTGATTTATACATGAGTTTTGAGGTCCAAGGAAAACGCTAGATTCAAGGTGTAAATTCAGAAGTCATCAGCAGGTAGTGGCATATAAATCCATGGGCATGAATTAGATTATCTGACGAGAAATTATGAAAGGATAAGGGAGGGGAACCTAGGATTGAGCACCGAGGAGCTCCGAAATGTAGAGATTGGGTAGAAAAGTAAATGCCAAGGTGAAGACTGGGTAGGAAAGGCCATGGAGAAAGACAATAGACCAGAACAGAGCAATATCACAGAAGCTGAAAGGAAGACGACTTTGAGAAAAAAACATTTGCTATGATGAGTAGTCCTGAAAGGCCAACTAGGATAACGAGAGGAGAGTGGACATTGGATCTGACACAGGAGAGGTCAGTGGACATTTTGTCAAGATTGGTTTTCGTAAAATAGTCAAAGCAGAAGTCCAATTGGCATGGGATAAAGAGTAAGGAAATTGACTTGGGGGTATGGACTAAAGTAAGGATTCAATTTTATTTGTTTTCAATGTGGACAATCACTTGAGCTTGAAAACAGGTAAAACTAAGGAATATATTTTGTAGGGATGCATACTTATGTGGAAAAATGTTTTTCAATGTAAGAAAGTCATAAATGAGAAATGTGTGCTGGTAGTAAACTCTTAAAGAGGAAGCAAAAGGATGGGATTGAGGAGCAGCATGATGTTTTTGTCATTAAGTTGGCTGTAGCTTCATAAGAGTCTATTTCATAATTTACATTACAGTGATGTATTTTATATGTAAAATATAATATAGGCAGAGGGTTCTGGGAAGTTGGCAGAGTCGGAAGCACCAGGACTCTGTCTCCCCACCTAGACAATTGCACTGGCAGAATCTGTGTGATGTAACTATTTTGGAACTCTGGAGCCTATTGAAGGCTTGCAAGGTCCAGAGGAAGCACTGAACAGTAAATTGCAGTTAATCTTGGTCAATTTTAGCTCTTATCTAAGCAGCAGCTACCCATCCCTCACCCCAGCCTCCTAGCAAGCAGTCATGCCCATGTTCCTAGAGCAGCTAGCACACAGCTTGCAGGAGCAAGGTGGGCGATAAGGAGGACCCTGTTCCCTAAATATCAGGGATCCGTGTTTTGGTAGCTAATTACTGCCTCTGATCATGGAGTTGCAGACACAGCAGCAGGTGGCCTTTGTTGCAACCCTCTTTCATAGTTGCAAGCCCCGCCTACTCAGGCTGAGACAACTTCCAGGATATTTAAAGGGCCAGCAATCTTTCCCCACTTCATTCTGTTCTTTCCCTTTTGACAGCCAGATGTTAAACACTAGGACATTCAAAAATAACTACATATATGAGGGACATTTCAAGTCACTGCTTATGCCTGAGGAAAGAAGTAGGCTCAGAAAAAATGAGCAAATACATTAACTTTACACCTCAGTTTGATTCTTGGCATGGAGACAGCCTACAATAATCAAATCAAAACAAAACGAAACAAAAGCAAAAAATGGCAAACTCCAGGGAAAGGGAGAAAATCCAATTACCATAATTATCACATTATTAGATCCAAACGACCAGTTTTCAACAGCAAAAAAAGAAAAAAGCACGGGGAATTAAAAAAAAAAAAACAGAAAAGTATAGCCCATTCAAAAAAAATAAGACAACAGTAATCATCTCTGAGAAAGACCAGATGGCAAACCTACTAAACAAAGATTTTAAAACAACTATCTTAAAGATGCTCAAAGAACTAAAGGAATATGTGGAGGAAGTCAAGAAAACAATGCATTACAAATGGAAATATCAATAAACAGAAAATACAAAATGAAATCAAAAAGAAAATTCTAGAGCTATAAAATACGATAACTGAAATGAAAAAATTCACTAGAGGGACACAAAGGCAGATCTGAGCAGACAGAAGAAAGGATCAGTAAACTTGAAAATAGGAAAATTGAAATTATTGAGTCTGAGGAAAAGAAAGAAAAAAGATTAAAGAAAAGTTAAGACAACCAAGAGACTTGTGCAATACCATCAATCAAACCAACATACACATTGCAGGAGACCCAGAAGGAGGATGGAGAGTGAAAGGGACAGAGATCGTTTGAAGAAATGGCTAAAAACTTCCCAAGTTTGGCTGGGTACACTGGCTCACACCTGTAATGACAGTACTTTGGGAAGCCAAAGTGGCAGGAAGTACCAAAGTGGCAGCTGTACTTTGGAAAGCCAAAGCACAGCTGCAGGCTGTGCAGGCTAGGAGTTCAAGACAGTCCTGGGCAACATAGTGAGACCAGAGGCCCTGTCTCTACAAAAAGATTTTTTAAAAAAAATAGCCAGATGTGAAGACATATGCCTGTAGTCCCAGCTACTTGGGAGACTGAGGTGGGAGGATCACTTGAGCCCAGGAGTTCGAGGCTGTGGTAGGCTGTGATTGTGCCACTGCACTTCAGCCTGGGCAGCAGACCAAGACCCTGTCTCTATTTAAAACAAAACAAAATAAAAAACCCCACAAATTTCCAAGTTTGACAAAAGACATTAAGGTTCAAGAAACTCAATAAATTCCAAGTAGGATGAATTCAAAGAGATCCACACTGAGACATATTATAATCAAATTGTCAAAAGTCAAGACAAAAAGAGACTCTTGAAAGCAACAAGAGAGAAGCCACTCACCACATGCAAGTTATCATCAATACAATTAGCAGCAGATTCCTCAGAAGAAACTTTGAAGGACAGAAGGCAGTAGGCTGAAATACTTAACATGCTAAAAGAGAAAAAAAACCCTGTAAATCAAGAATCCTGTTCTTGATTTGCTGATGGACAGCAAAACTGTCCATAAAAAGTGAGGGAGAAATTAACATTCCCAGAAAAATAAAAGCTAAGGAAGTTCATTATCACTAGACCTGCTCTGCAAGAAATGCTAAAGAGGATCCTACAGGATGAAATTAAAGGATGGATACTAGACAATAACTAAAAACTTTATGAAGAAATAGAGATCTCGGTAAATGTAAATATATGGGCTATTACAAGAGCCAATATTATTGTAATGACAGTTTGTAACTCCACTTTTTGTTTTCTATGTGATTTCAAAGACTAACATATATTTTAAAAACAAGTATTAATCTAAAAGCTTGTGTTTTGATAATGTTTTTCTATAATTTCATTTTTTGTTTTCTACGTAATTTAAGAGAGTAACATATTTTAAAAACCAATTATTAGTTTATGTTTATGGATACTCAATGTAAAAAGATGTAATGTGGTGATATCAGTAACTAAAGGGATACGGACAAGGCTGTAAGGAAGCAGAGTATTTGTATGCTATTGAAATTAAGCTAGTCTAAATTCAAATTTGAGAGTTATAACTTTAGGGTGTTAAATGTAATTTCCATAGTAACCACAAAGAAAGTCATTTTGGAATATACACAAAAAGGGATGAGAAGAGAATTAAAACATTTCACTACAGAAAAAAATCAGTCAAACACAAAAGAAGACAATAATGCAAGAAATGAGGAATAAAATAGTTGTAAGGCATTATAGAAAATAAGAGGCAAAGTGACAGAAGTTCCTCTTTATCAGTAATTACTTTAAATGTAAATGGATTAAACTCTCCATTTAAGAGACAGAGATTGGCATAATAAATTTTTAAATGATCCCACTACATGCAATCTGCAAGTGACTCACTTTAGTTCCAAAGATACAAATAGCCTGAAAGTGAAAGGATAGAGACATTCCATGCAGATAATTCTCAAAAGAGAACAAGTGTGGCTATCCTAATATCAGACAAAAATGAGTTTAAATCAAAAAAGTTTACAAGACACAAAGAAGGACATTGTATATCAATAAAAAATTCCATAAAGAAAGAAGATATAACAAATACAGTAATAGTCGAAGACTTCAACACCCCACTCTAAATAATAGATAGATCAACCAGACAGAGGATAGGTAAGGAAATAGAGAACTTGAACAACACAATACAACTAGATCAACACAATACAGCTTATGCAGAACACTATACCCAACAACAATAGAATACATATTCTTCTCAAGGTCACATGGGACATTTTCCAGGATAGACCTTATATTATAATAGGCCACAAATGAAATCTCAATAGATTTGAAAGAGATCACTACCATACAAAGTATGTTCTCTGACCGCAAAAGGATGAACACACAAAAATCAGTTGTATTTATATACACTAATAATGAACAATCTGAAAAGGAAATTAAGAAAACAATTCCATTAACAGTACTATCAGAAAAAATAAAATACTTAGGACTTAACCAAAGAGGTGAAGATTTGTACAATAAAAACTACAAAACATTGATGAAATTTTAAAAGACATAAATAAATGAAAAGGTATCCCTGCTCATGTACTGAAATGCAATACTGTTAAAATGTCAATACCACCCAATATTATCTAAAGATCCAATGCAATCCCTATCAAAATCCCAACTATATTTTTTGTAGAAATCAAAAAATCCATGGTAGAATTCATATGAAATCGCAAGAAACCCCAAATATCCAAAACAATCTTGAAAAAGAACAACAAAGCTGGAGGAATCATACTTCTTTATCTCAAAACTTATTACAAAGCAGCTCCAGTAATCCAAACAATGTAACCCTTACTAACACTGTATACAAAAATTAACTCAAAATGAATTAAATACTTAAATGTAAGAGCTAAAACTATAGAAGTCTTAAGTAGAAAACATAGGGCAAAAGCTTCTCCACACGGGATTTCACAATGATTTCTTGAATATGACACCAAAGGCACAGGCAACAACAACAAAATACAGACAAATCAGACTGCATAAAATTAAAAGCTTTTGTACATCAAACAACATTATCAACAAAGTGAAAATGCAACCTAAAGAATGGAAGAAAGTCCTTGCAAATTGTATATCTGATAAGTGATTAAAATACAGAATATATAGAGAACTCCGAACTCAACAACAACAAAATCAAATGACTCAATTTAAAAATGGGCAGAGAATTTGGATAGACATTTCTCCAAAGAAGATACATGAATGGCATTAAACACATGAATAGATGTTTAGCATCACTAATCATTAGGGAAATGCAAATCGAAACCACAATGAGATACCACCTTACACTCATGTGGATATTATGTGTATTTTACCACAATAAAAAATGTAATTATCTGAGACTTCAAAAACAATGAATGAATATATAAATAAAATGCATTTTAAGAATAAATATATATTATAATTTTTAAAAGAATAAATAGAGAGTCACAAGACACTGCCACCTCAAACCTAGCCATTAAAACAAGCTCAACAATTTACAAGTTTACATTTTTTTAAAGGTTCATCAGATTGCTGAGGATGCAAAGAAACCCAAATAAACTAAACTCCAGAAAGTGATTAATCCATCTGGGAGAGAAGAGAGCCACTGTTTCTTTACTCCCTGACAGAACAGCCAAAAGAAGACAAATCTGCCAAAGACAGGGATAAGGAGAAACTAGCCAAACTTTGAAGGAACCTTTAATGACCCCGTGGGATGGTGTGATGAATGAGAACCTCAGGAACCCTAATCACAGGCAAGTCTTCCCCAACCTGTGAGCTCGTTTCCATGGGACTTGAGTGTCAAGGGTAGGTAAGGAGAGCTGAGAGAGCCTTCGCCAAAGACAAATACCAGGAAGCCTGAGGGCAAGCCAGAAAAATGGAAAGAAATCCCTCCAAGTCACTCCAGACCTTCACCAAGTGAAGGGCATGGACTCTGAAAACTGAGAGCAGGGCACAACACCAACAGAAACCTCCAAAACATTATGCTAAGTCATAGAAGCCAGACAGAAAGCATTGTGTATTTTATGATTCCATTTATATGAAATATCTAGAACATATAAATCCATAGAGACGGAGCACACATTGGTGGTTGCCACAGGCTGGAGAGAGGGTGCTAGTTGGGACAAACTGCTTAATGGGTAAAGAGTTTAATTTTGGAATGATGGAAATGTTTTGGAACTAGATAGAGGTGGTATTTGCAAAATATTGTGAATACACTAAATGCTACTGAATCCTTCATTTTAAAGTGGTTAATTTCATATTATGTGAATTTTACCTCAACTTATTAAAGTATCTTACATAAATAACGAAGTGCCTGAAGCAGTTCTCTTAATGCCAAGAAAAATCTCTCCAAAGTACTCTGGGCCTTAACAGAGGATAGTTCAACAGTCCTCCAGAGGCAAGGGCAGGGCAGCTAGGGGGAGAGAGGTCTCTGCAGTGCAGAAAATTAGGGGCAGGACTAAAAGTCAAAGAGAACTCCCAGTGACACTTAAAGCTGGCAAACAGGATCTCTGGAGTCTCACCAGACTCTGCCGAAGGACACATCTTAAACCTAATTTCAAACATGTGAAGCCAGCAGTAACTGCGTGTAACTAAAAGTGGACAAAGCCTAGATCCAGTACAACTACAGATTAGATTGATTTTGTTCCTCACATTAACAGCTTGAAAGAAGAAGCAATATCACTTGTATGGTGGTAAGTATTGTTTATACTACTCTTTTGCGTATAATGCTTGGCATAAAATTTATAAAATTATGAGATGTGAAGAAGCAAGAAAAATGTGGCCCATGATCCAGAAGGAGAAAAATGGGAATAAAAGCAAATCTGGAGAGAGTTCAGATATTGGATTTACCAAACAGGGACTTTAAAATAATTATGATAAATACATAAAAGAAACTAGTTATAAAATTTTAACATATATGAGCTGATAAGGAATTTTAGCAGAGACAGAAACTATAGTCAAGAACCAACTGGAAGAGCTGGTGGGGGCAAGAATTGAATTACACTGACATAAGCTTCTAACATTTTCATGTGCTTTTAAAGAGTTTACCTTCAAATTACATTATCTCTAGAGCAACCACTAAAAATTACACAAAGAGGTATAAATAAGACATCAATAGAGCAAATTAAAAGAAATGCTGAATACAGTGATTCAAAGAATCAGAAAAGAAGGCATCAAGGGTTAAGGAAAAGATGGGACAAATAGAATCAAATACCAAGATGGCAGACCAAAATTCAACCACATCAATAATTACATTAACCATAAAGAAAGTAAGCACTCCATGTAAAAGGCAAACATTTTCAGACTGGTTAAAAAGCACAAGACCCAAATATTTGCCATTTAATAAAAAAGCACCTTATATTAAAGACAGATAGGTTGAAAATAAAGACTTAGCATATATTTCCCATTCTAAGAGTTATATATCCACATAGAAAATATGTAAAATGCATGAAGAAATATATCCCAAAAAGATTTTATTTACAATTTCTAGATAATAGCATCAAAATAGACGACAAAGAAAAAGCTAAGGTCATTCTGAATTCTGCACATTTTGAGACATAGAAGTGAGAGAACAAATACCATATTCTCTTCCCCACAATTCCCCTTGGCTCTTTGCTAAGAAAACTGAATACTGGGCTGGAAGACCCATTCCCATTGGCATACTCAGTATAAATTTTTGTGATTTTACATCTTTCATATATATATATATATATATATATATAAAATAAATATATATACCCATTTATACTTACACATATACACACACATATGTATAACTCCCCCTCCATCACCTCCCATTGCAGATAGACACTAAGTGATTAAATAATACTGACCTGAGCTAATGTTGATCCACAGGAAGTGCTGAAGCTTGAGGAAAGAACAGTTGAGTTTTAAGACAAGACTCTAAGCAGAAAAAGATTCTTCCCATGAAAGTAGTATTCACTTCTCCCTCCAGTGGCCACAGCATTAAGAGCACTTCACTACCCAAGCATGATCCTGCAAAGAGTGTGCAGCACCAAAGAACTACCAATACAAACTTGGGTGCTCAGGGAAAGACATAGAACTGTAGTGCTCCATAGAACAATCTGCAGAGCATACCTAGGGGACCCAAGCTTTACACAGGCCTTAATTGATAAAACCTCAGGACTTAAAGACCATACTTTGAATAAGTGTATGAATACATAGCAGTATTCAGCAATAAAGGCCTGGAGGCAAGAAACGGGCATCACAATTCAGAACAGACCAATTAGAAAAAGAAAAGAGTATCCATACTGCAACAAAATATTCATTTAGCCATACTTGTTAGGGTTATCATGTTACCTTACTAAGGAAGTAGTCAACAATACCAGAACCCACTTGTATACTCAATTGTATATATGTATCAATAAGAATGTGGATTCAAATATGCTCAACCAACAATAGTTATGGAGTTATTATTGAAAGAAGACTATGAATTGCATGGACCCTGAGTGTTTCTTTCTGGGTGACATATACATATTACACACATTTGGCCAAACACAGAGGAAAAGGAATCAAACCATGAGGCCATTAACAACCATGCCCAAAAATGTCCAAAGCCTTGTGACATAACTGATCACTGACAGGAAAACATGCACACATAGAATGTGAATAAAATGTGAAACCAAATTACAGCATAATCCCATAGATGTTAAAATATATTATACACATTTCCCTAAGTCACATTTTTTCCCCTTCTAGGTTAAGATTATACCTCTCAACGCTGAATCACATAAATTAACACCATCCCTTCATGTTCCCGTAACGCCGCTTTCCAATGGTAAGAGTCATCCACTGGATAGAGAACAAAGATGCCATTGTTGAAGGACTCCAGATTTAAAAGCCCACAGAGATGGATAAAGATGACACAGAGGCACATTTAATGGAACAGCGTAAAAGAGTAGGTGGTCACTTGCCCCTGAAATGCTTCTCTGAACAGATCCATGTTGAAAGAAGAGGAGCAGGCTTTGATACAAATTAATTGGCAGGCATGTGAACCAGAGAAAGAAAACACATACCTTTAGAAAAGATGTGAGACGATAAAAAGCAGGAAGTCAAACTTCCTAAGACAGAAGTCTGAATCAGAGTTGAGCTGCTTTTTCCCAAACTGACTTGAACTTATTAAAGTCTTGAATCTGAACACCAGGACTGAAAGTTTCAGAAAAGCTCACTGATTTTTAGTACTTTTGCTTGAAGCCAGAAATGCAGCAAGGACAAAAATACAGCAGGCATGCTTTATATATATGCATCCACCATTTTAATCTGAACCAAAGTGAAGAACTACTTATCTGAACCCTGCATTGCCTCCCATGTTGGGACTCTGTTTCTCAAGGTATTTACTTACCCACTTCTACTGTCCGGGGAAGAAGTGGACACTAGATCCAAGAGGAAGCTGAATTTTGGAATGATACTGTTATTGTGGACAGTAGGAATCACTAAATTTCATGCTAGTTTTTAAAACATTTTCTAAAGTAGTATCAAAATAATCATGCACATAATAACTGAAAACAGAACAAAATGCACCTGGGAAGTTTTGATTTGAAAATTACTTTGCTTACTTTTCTGGGTTTTTTTGTTTATGAAAAATAGCACTTCCTTGGCTCCCGCCTCTAATTTTTTCCCTCCTGAAGGCAATCATTTGCATCTCTTTTGAGTAATTATTTTAGACTATCTATCCCAGCTCTAAATAATATGTTTATACTATTTTGATTTTTCCATGTGTTATCTCCAATTATGGAAGACAAAGATCTGCATCCTCCTGCTCCTGCCACACACTGGGCCCTGTCCATTTTCTCACCACTAATAAAGTAATACAAGGAAGATCAACAATCATGGACTTCGATAGTACAGTTATATAAATACCATCCATAGATGAGCTATGACATGAACTGTATTCATTTTTCCTTTCATGCATTTTTTAATTTTCTCTGGAAGGTGAAGTAATTTTGTTACTGTTTAATCATTTGCTTTGTGTTCTACATATTTACCACTAATTCTAGCCCTAATTCTGTCAGTTTCCTCAGTCTCCTCTCGGGACAATCAGACACATCTGATTTCTAACAGTTTCATCCTCCTGAAGAAGCCTGTCTTGGATATTTCTGACCTGCTCTAATCCACACTGGTTTTCATCTCTGCCTGATGCACCACGCCTCTCCTGGGCTCTTCCTTCACAACCTCCTGGGGGCTTCCTTTGCCTCTCTCCTCTAGTGCATTGCTCTTTCTGGTATCCCTTGTTTTCCTCTATATTGGTCTTTTCCCTGACTTTTTTGGAGGGCAGTAGCTTTCCAAGAAAGAGTGCATGAGGTAAGTATTTTGGAATCTTGCATGTCTTAAACTGCCTGTATTCTATCACCACACTTGACTGATCATTCCTCTGCAACAGAATTTCTAGATTAGAAACATTTTCCTCCATATTTTTAAAGATGTTGCCTCCAGTGCCTTCTAGCTTCCTGGGTTAGTTATTCTGAAATTATCCTGATTTGGGATACTTTGTATTTGACTTGTTTGGTCTGGATACCCACAGGATCTTTCCTTTGTCCAGGGGGCCAATCAATGTGATATTTGTGCAGGAACAAAGAGATCAGTAGAACGGAATCGACAATCAAGAAATAGCATCCCATTATAAATGATAATAAAATTTAAAGCAAAGTACTATTTTTAATTTAACAAGTAGAAATGGTTTATTTTGTGAGTAATACTTAGAACTGGCTGGCTATTCATATGGAAGAAAATAATGCCTATCACATTACTTTAAAAAAATTACAGATGCATAGAGATCAAGTGTAAAATATAAATAATTTTTTATTTTTTATTCTTTATTTCAATAGCTTTATGGGTTTTGGTTACATGGATGAATTGTATAGTGGCAAAGTCTGGGATTTTATTGTACCCATCACCTTACATCCATTAGGTGTACCTTATATCCATTAGGTAGATTTTTATGTCTCTCCCCTGCCACCCTCCCCACTCCTGAGTCTCCAGTGTCCATTATACCACTCTGTATGCCGTTGCATACCCATAACTTAGCTACCCCTTATAAGTGAGAACATGTGGTACTTGGTTTTCTAAGAATTGTTTTTAATCTTGGAAAAAAATTCAAGAGACTACATGTAAAATACAGAAATAGTAGAGACTTTCTTAACCAAGAGAGGAAGCCTGACATTTATCAAAAGGATATCTGGACATATTTAACTATATAAAAATTTAAAATTATTTGGATGAAGAATTATAAAGCAAAACACAAATTATAGACGTAAAGTAAATAGACAAAAAATACTTTAAAGTAAATAGACAAATGGTCTCATAAATTGACAAGAGAAAAACAGCAAAATAGAAAAATGGACAAAAGAAATAAATGAGCAGTAAGCTTCCCTAAATACCCTCTCCTATCCTGGCAAAATAGCTTATTTTTTAAATTTTGGAGATGGTAAAATAAGAGGACACCAAGTGTAGTTGAGAATGGGATGGGGCATCATACTGAAAACAGAACAATTCATTAAATGTATCCATACTATACATTAAGACTTCCAGATTTTTCCCCCATGCAGTTACCAGAAAGTTGGCGACAAAGCCTTTACTTTCCCTGAAGAGTTTTAGCAGGCCAAAAGACCTAAAACTATTGACGTTATAATTTTCCACAACTAAACGGTCCAACTTGATCTTCTCACAGTGCTGCTAACAGGAATCACTGCTAGTCAGAAAAATGCAAATTCAAGTAACAATGTGCATGGAAATTGGCCTTCCAGAGCACTGGCAACTGGAGGCAAAGATCTTCTTTTTTTTTTTTTTTTTTTTTTTTTTTTTTTTTGAGACGGAGTCTCGCTCTGTCGCCCAGGCTGGAGTGCAGTGGCGGGATCTCGGCTCACTGCAAGCTCCGCCTCCCGGGTTCACGCCATTCTCCTGCCTCAGCCTCCCAAGTAGCTGGGACTACAGGCGCCCGCCACTACGCCCGGCTAATTTTTTTTTGTATTTTTAGTAGAGACGGGGTTTCACCGTTTTAGCCGGGATGGTCTCGATCTCTTGACCTCGTGATCCGCCCGCCTCGGCCTCCCAAAGTGCTGGGATTACAGGCGTGAGCCACCGCGCCCGGCCAAAGATCTTCTTTAGAAGCATCTGTTCTGTGACTATGTCCTTGCCCCAGATGAGAATGTGGCCTGCTGATGATATATGATTCACAATGAAAAGCATAAGGCTTATCAACCTTCCCTTAAACAGAAATAAAAGTTCTGCTGGAAAAATGATGTAAGCTTTGATCATGAAAGATACATGGTATAACAGAAGTGCCCCAGTCTGCAGGACCTGTTGTGCTTCAACAGGGAACTAGGGGCCATGAATAAGCCTTGCCATGATATCTGTGGCCATCCTACTTCCAATTAGTTTCTATGTCCTTCTCTATTTAAATCAGGCACTGGCTGTGTGTGTGTGTGCGCGCGCGCGCGCCTGTGTGTGTGTGTGTGTGTGTGTGTGTGTGTCTTTTTGTCAATCTATAACTGGAATGTTGCAAATTGGGTCAAGAGTGGGCTAGAAATAAAATCCATACAACCTCAGTGATTTTCCAAGGGGTACCAAGGATCTGAAGGAAAGTATAAGCTGAGTATGCCATGGATAGAAACTAACGAGTCCAAAGTATGAGACCACTGGGTCACAAGGTATGAGACCACTGAGGAAGGTTGCTGTTTATGTGTGTCGTATCAGTGGAAATTCGTACAATGATTTCTATCAACAGCCAGTTGAGCTTGTTAGATGAATTTTTTACTGGTTCAAACAAGGCCCCTCTTTTGTTTGTGTAATTTATTTATTCCCTTTCGTACCCATTTCCCATCCTCACAGGCAACCACTTCTGACATGTTTAATATGAATTATGTATTCCTATAAAAATATATAGTTATTTTGTGAATATGTATATTAAATTTATGTATATCTCATTCTAATCTTTTTAGTCAGTACTATGTTTTTAAGATCAATCTATGTGGTTATGGGTATGACTGTGCCAGAAGTGCAGATAATAAGTGTTTACCCTATTTTACCTATTTCCCCAGCACTGAACACTCAGATTGCCTCTAACAGATGCCCCCACAAATAATAATGAGACAAACATCAGCACCCATGCCCTCTGATGTGAACTTGCTGGGTCATATGACACGCATATACTGAATTGGACTAGGTCCTGCCAAAGAGTTCTCCATAATGGCTGCACCAGTCTACACTCCCACTAGTAATAACAAATTTAAAAAAAAAAAAAATCTGCCTTCACAGAACTTCTATGATAAAAGCCCCAAGAAAAAGATGAATTTCAAGTTGAAGTTTTTGACAGTAACTACATTGTGTGAGCTAAATCTTCCCCTTGGCAAGCAATTTTGGCTTTGAGACACTGTAACTTATACAAAGGTCTTTGAAAATATCCTCAAATGAAAATTAACATTTGACCTGACTAAAGGGTAAGGATACTTTAAATAGATATACATATGAGATCTACATGGATGTTTGCAATTTTTTAAACGTTCTAAGTTGCATTATGTCCAGTATGATTTTTCTTCCTAATTGAAATGGTTGTAGGAAAATTCAACTAGAGTATTAAATAACTAAACTCTGTGGTTTTAACTTCATTTAATTTTCAGATTGATGACCTGAGCCAGCTGAGACAATGGCAAGCCTTGGCCTATGCATGCAGCTGGGAAGGGCAGGATACAGGCTTAGCTGAGAAAAGCCCAGCATGTCATACTCTTCCAAAAGGAAAGCTGTCCATCCTTGCACTAAGATAGACTTAGAGTGAGGCCAAGCTCTCTCTGCATTCTCACTCTCAGGAGACCAATGACCCTTCCAGAAGTAACAGTAAATTGGTCTGGAGTGGGACTGCATAGAATATTAAGGAAATGCTGTCTTCCCTCTGCCTAAATGCATGTGCTAAGTGGCCATGCAAAATGGAAACTTCACTGTTACTGGAAGACAGGTCATCCATATTAGGTAAGTGGGAAACACATGGGTAGGGGTCACCCTGACATACTACAGGCAATTAAGAATAAATTATTGTCTCTGATCTCATCCAGGTTCATACTGAAAGTCCAATGTCTGCTCAGCCTATTTGGCTTTTAACTAAATGACAAACAAGGTTTTATTATCCAGAACAAGCGGTTTAAAAAAAAAAACAAGTTTCTTTTCACTGATGACCACAGAATTACTACCACAAAAGGCAAAATTGATATGGTGCTTTCAATTTATATCAGAACTTGGATCTTTACAACAAGACCTAAAATAGCTGCATTCTTCTTTCTTATTACACTGAAGGATTTTGCTACCCAGACTAAGATTGGAGATATATAAATATGATGTAAACATAAAATTACAACTGAAATACATTATAGACTAAATATCCTTTTGTATTAGCTGCTTCTTATGAAGCCTAGATAATGTTATAAAAATTATATAAGCCTAGTTAATATTTTTTAAATTATAGAATTGAATGTTTAAGATAAATATTAAAAGTCTGAGGTTTCTTGGCCATAATCTGATTATGTTCTATGGCATTCTTACTTAGGTTTTGGAAAGTTAAACTAGTATATTCCCAAGATAAAGAAGAGTAGTAGTCATCAAAGGCCGTAAAGAAATCAGAGTTTTACAATAATCCAGAGAGAAAAAATAATGACACTAGGACATATCTATCTCTTTTAACTCTTAATTCTCTGAACCCTAGTGTCATTACTATTTCTCTCTGGATCATTGTAAAACTGATTTCTTTCTCAAAGAGATATTTGTTTTTAGTCCCCATTTTCTTGCTGTTGTCCATCAACAGTTTGGGACTTTATGTAAGCATCTAAGTATCTAAGAATCTAAGTGTCTATTACCTTTGAAACATTGAGGGCCCATAACTGTTTTTTTAATTAATAGACATTATTTCATAATTTTAGGTTTATTTAAAACTTGAGCAAAAAGTACAGAAAATTCCCATATATATCCTTCTTGTCCATGTCTCCCCACCCAGTTGCCCCTATTGTTAATATCTTTTGTTAGTGTAGTACCTTTGTTAATGACTAATAAGCCAATATTGATATATTATTACTACCTAAAGTCCATAGTTTATATTAGGATTCACTCTTGATGCACATTCTATGGGTTTTGACAAGTGCATAATGGCATGTGTCTTCATGTATCATACTATTACGGTATTATACAGATCAGTTTCACTGCTCTAAAAATCCTCTGTGCTCAAACTAGTAGTCATCCCTCCCTTCCTCACTCTTCCCAAGCCATTCTCATCCATCAATCTTTCTACTGTCTTGAGAGTTTCGCCTCTTGGACCAGACTTTTTATTGCTTTAGTATTCCCCTTGGAAATAAGTTGGCCTGATTTTCTTCTTTAGGCAGTTGTTGTTCTAGTGATGCCTCACACAGGGGAAAAATGAGATCTGCACACTAAATTCTCAGGATGCTTGAGCCAAAAATTCAAAAGAAAGTAAACTTGGGGTAGCATAGAAATTTAAACACACAATTTGGTAAGACAATATATATAGGGAGAAATACCAAAGCTAGTGATCAAAGGTTAAAATGTAGCTCAAAACAATAGCAAATTGCATTAATGAACAATCATTTTAAGTAACATTTTAAAGTGATAAATATGACATAGCAACGTTAATTCATTCATATTGAAAGAAACATAAATGTCTGTTCTATCACTAAAAGCCTGGAGGCCTTTGTCATTAGGCTCTATCCCCTGCTCATACAACACAACATAATATGCAATCCTAATATCCACATTTAATTTCTAGAAACTGATTCTGTTTCTGGGATGGGATAGCTCAAGCTGGGGCTGGCAAATCTAGTGAAAAGACAGCAAAAATACTTTCAAAATTTCTTTCATTGGCCAAAATGTGATGACTATGAATGTGGATCAAAAATCAATTGTTCATAGCTGTAGACTGGAATTATTTGGGTCTATGAAAGGTCATAAGTATATCATGATGTTCAAAAGGGATAAATAATGGAAATTATGCTAGATAAACTTACAGGTGACCCCTTATAAACTTACAAACTCACAGCAGCTATGTATAACCATACATCAAAGAACTGATATATCTCTAGACCTTTGCTTAAGTGGCAGCATGTAGATTATTAGTAGAAGCTATTCTGGAATGGTGTGGGCCCTACAAAAACAATTAGAACAGAAAAAGTTCTGTGGTTTCCTAAGAGGATGCAGGATTCCACCGTGTATGGACATTATCACTGGTGGCTGTGCATCCCACTAAGGAACTTGAGGTCAGGGAAAAAACAGGAAATGTTGTGCTTGCCCTGCCCATTGTGAACACCCAACCTCCAATATGTTTCTGCATTCTTGGGTAACGAAATGGAGAACTACAGTGTGCATGTGTGTGAGAGAGAGATCACTGCAAGTCAATCCGCAGCTCCTCTTAAACACTGCATGGTGTGACATCACTTTACACACAAAACAGTTTAGGAGGGTAGATACCAAGATGTAAACAGTGACTTTACCTGGAAAGTTGGGTTTAACATGTGTTTTACTATCTTTTTTATAAAATAATATTAGCCAAGAAAAAGTCATTTTAATTTTGAAAATTAAAAGATTAAACATTCCATGAAGTTCTTCAAATACAATGAAAATAGCATTAGTTATTTAAGAGCTACAGAATTCTGTCCAGACATTTCAGTACAGAAGTGCAAAAGTAATTGTGGTTTTTGCCATTAAAAGTAATTGCTAAGGTTATACCAAAAAATATTACTAGTGCAAAAAAAGAGACTTTAAATCCTGCCTCTAACAATGTATGACCTTGGGGCATGTTTAAACTCCCTTGAGCCTCAGTTTCTTCATATGTAAAATGTTGAAAATATCACTTACTTTATTGTTACCATTGAAGATACATTAATGATATGCCATGTATATATGTCTCATAAGCATGAAACATAATATACCACTCATAAAATACTTCACAATAGTAAGAAAGGGGAAATATGAATGAATATATAGTTGTATTTGCTTAAATTTGCAAAAAGAAACTATGGAGGGATAAATATATAGCAAACATAGTTTCTTGGCCTGAGGAGAAAAAAATAGGATGGATTGGAGAAGGTAAAAGTGAGACTTTCTATTATACCTTCTTATATTGTTTCGATTGATTTTAAAATAAAATCAGCTTCATAATAAATTCAAAAATTTATCCTCCAAACTCTATGCACCAGGACTAAATATTTTTTATGACAGTCATTTCTCATGTTTCTGATAATAAAGTACTCTTACAGATTCAGTTACATATCCATGCTTTTCATTTTCTGTGACCTTCTATAATTGCCAGTTAGCACCACAAAATAAAATGTAGTTCTTCCTGTCTGTATCAGACTTCCAACTTCCTAGGAAACGCCTTCTCTGTGTTCTTTGTGTCACATCCACAGCCAGAGGTAAATCACAGATATATTGATTTTAGGTATCCACATGTTTGTTACTATTTTAGATCCCTCCTTTGATTTCTTATGAATTAATTTTTTAAAAAATACTTAGGACACTGGATTTCTTTGGGAATACCTAATTACCTAACGTGGAAATCTTCAACCAAAACAATCTTTGAAATGTAGCATCTAACATTAATTTCAATTTCTACTAATGCCAATTATTCAACTACCTTGATGAGAAATTCTAATGTTGAGAATTCAAAAATTCAGACAAGAAAATGAGTTAATAATGCTTTGATGCATTACAATAGGAGAGCTATTAATTTTTTTCACAGATAATTAATTTCTCCTATGTAGGTAGAGGAAGGAATATAGGTGAAATTGCTTTCAGTTTGTATTCAGTTTTGATGTGAAAACTTTCCCTCCTATCAAGGAATCTATAGAAATAATTACTACTTGTAATAAGTTCTTTATGTTCAAAATTTGACATGTTACAAGGTCTACTAATGACAACGTCCATGCAGACCCAAAGCCCTTCTGCTTTCTGTGCTGTGTCGGAGGCATTGTTTCTTTAAAAAGATTTGAGAATCTGACTGAATTGCACAACTGTGCTTATTTTTTTAACTCATAATTCAGGGAACAAAAATGTAAGCTGTTCATACCTAAAATGAAGACGTACTATAATTGGAAATCCAGGAAAAGCACTAACCTAGTTAAAACATATGTCTTTCATTAGGGGAGGAGCAGAAATGAAAAAAAAATAGTTTAAAGTTATGTTTTCAATATTTCTGACTTCATTTTCATATTTCACAGCACCAAATTGTGATGATCTTATAATTTGGAGAAGAAAATGCCAATTTAGAGAAGAAAACGAAGACATTCAACAATCTTGGGAGTTTTTCTAGTGGACTTTTTAATTCCAAGAATACAGTGTCCAAAATGCAGCTTGGCTAAAGTGATAGGCCTAAGCTCTAAAGAGACAATCTTTAAATTCAGGCCTTTCATTTCCAGTTGAAGTTAATTAAAATGAAAGATACGTATGACATAGAAACTGTTTTCACATCTATAAGTATATTAGTCTTCTCCTTTAGGAAAAACAATCTTTTTCTTCCACTGCCCTTGTAAAATATCCCTTAGGATAGAAAATAGCCCAACGTATGTTTCTGTTGAAACGTTGAACAGTCATTCATTAACCTTGAGTACGTTGTGCCGTGAAGAAGACAGTATCCAAATGTATTTTCTCAGTTTCTCACTCTTCACCTGTCTGAAAACGACTTTCAAATGTACAGTGCTCACGCACATTTTTGTTCTTTGGTGAGAGTCATTTGTATACTCATTCCTATGCCCACTATCTTGTCCCACTTCAAAGCATTGTACAGTTTTTTTCTTCTGCTTGAAACACTGTTTCCTGGATGGGCACATGCCTGCTTCTGTATAATTCAGGCTTTAATTCAAAGAGAGGCCTTCCCTTCATGCCACTTTACCCTATATGATCCTCATATGGTACATATAGTGTCTGAAATTGCCCTTTATATATGGTTATTTATGTGTTGACTTCTGTTTCACTCTAACTAGAATCTTTGCTCATCAAGGCCAGGACATCTGTCTTGTGTACCCCTGTTGCTGGTGCTTAAAATAGCACCTGGCCCATTATAAACAAATAAGTGATCCTAAACTCTTTGACAACAGGAATACAGTCTTCTGTTCTCTGAAATGCTATGCATTAGTAGGTAGCCAAAAGTTATCATTCTCCAAGGATTCTACCATCACTCTAAATGTGAACAAACAAAATTAAGCACTGAAATCCAGTTTAAAACCAAAATAAATACTTAGAAAACATTGAGTCCTCAGGTCCAGATTCAAAGTGTTTAGAAAGTGAAAGACAACAAATTTTGAAACTAAATGACCTTATTTTGCTAACTGAATGCCATAAAATCTGAAAGAAAAATACACAATAAACTGAGCAATTGAACCATAAGTCATGTTATCAAAATTTGAATTCATGCCTGAATCATTTGTTAGAAGGAAGATATTTTAACTTGTTCAGTGTACTATGATGGTAAACCTTAATAATGTAAGTACTAACTTATTACTAATTTAGCAGAAAGAATTAATAATCTTTAAAAGTACTTTGATACTAAAATTTATCTTCAAAACAGGAAGAAGTGGGTTCATTTTATAGTCAGAACAAGTGACAAAAAAGAAAATAAAGGTACTTATATATGAACCTGGCTAAAAAGGTTAAATTTAATTTTAATTACATAGTTTTATTAGGTATATGGATATACTAGGTGTTATATTAGGTAAGAAATAGCTGTTTTGTAGGTAAAAAGCAGCTGAAAATCAGCTATTATCATCTACTGAAGATTTCCTAAATGCCAAACACTGTAATGGCAACTGCACATTATATCATTTAATTCTCCCAACAAATCTATGAGCATTATCCCTATTTTTACAAATAAAAAATAGTAGGCTTATAGAAATTAATCAACTTCTGCAAGGTCAAAGACTTAACCAGTGCCCCAATCTCTCAATCTCCACAACCCATTCTGATTCCACTATGCTACCCTACACTCTGGAAGCATATGCTTTTCATTAATTACCAACATGTTTGCCTAAAGGTTTCAATTTCTACTGCTGGCTGGATATCTGTGGTTGGACACATAAAACTCAGCATTCTAATTAATTTTTTGTGTATTAGCATTGACAAAATAGGAAAAGAAAAGTGCCTCTGAGGACCCATCAGGACAGTAGCCAAGCTATTTCTCAGACCAATATTTATTTTTCCATGAGGTCAAGGGCAAGCTTTGTTTTCATCTTTAAAAGTTTATTTTTCTGCTATTAATTTGGAGGCTGCATGGAAAGCCAGTTTACAGGCTAAGTTAAATTGTGAAAAGCAAGATGCAATGAGAAATAATGCGCTTGGAGTCAGATGAATCATTAGGGCTTTGGGACTAATGTACAGCAAATTGAGCCCAGTCCAAGAAAATGTAGATAAAATGAGTTTATAATCAAATAATAGAAGGTGGAAATCCATTTAAATGGAATAATGCTTCTGTTTAGTAGATAAGAATCCGTTTTAAGAATTAAGGTGAAAAATTAACATAGAATTTACATTTCTATACAATAGGCATAGCAGAACAAACGCTTATGGTAGATAAGGTGATGTCTATGTTGCTAGAGGTTTACAGGTGAAATTAAAAAATTATATTGACAATTGTTTGGTATGGTGAATGGTATTTAGTAGGGGTTTACCTACCTTCCCATCACAAACATTTTCAAACATCAACAGAAGGTTAAATGCTCGCTAAAGGCATGGATGAGTAAGACAGGCCAACTCCTAATCTTGACTCTACCTTTGCCAGCTTTGTGGTGAAGGGAAAGCCTCAACCTCTTTACACTTCCTGGTCAACTACAATAGAGTTAACAATAACCACCTGATAAAATGTCTAAGCATAAATAAGATGGTGTATGTGACAGGAGTTTGTCATCTATAAAGCATTATGCAAATGAAAATCAATATAATGTTAATAATAATAATAGAAGTTATAATAAAATGAAAAGCTAATTCCCTACAGGAAGGGTTGTGATCCCACTTCTGTAAAATTAAAATACCTGTGTTTATGAATGAATTAAAAAATTAGAAATAAAGATGTTAGTCCCTTAACTACTGACTTGCAGAGATGTCCATGATATTAAGTGAAAAAAGCAAATTGCGTACAATATAATTCTAATTTAAGGACCGCAAACAATGCATTCATGCTTATATGCTTGAATATAGTTGTATAAAGATACAGCAGGTTGTGGAATGGATCACTTCAGACTTAAGGGATTGAGATGGGAAGATGCTGAACTTTGATACGATGCACATGTGCACATGGGTACATGCCTGAACACAAGCGCGCACACACACACACCCATACACACAACCCTAACTGAACATCATTTGCGTTTTAACCACAAACCCATATTATTTTTGTAATTTGAGAAACAAAGAAAATTTTTAAAAATAATATGAGTAATATAAACCCTTGGAAATAGTATTAATGTTACCAAAAAATGTCACCAAGGTGTGTACCAGCACCCAAACCTACAGAATCACATAACTTATTAGCAATGTTCTAGCACAGTATTCAACATACTTTAATTTGCATTGTGCTGCCAATCCAAGCTGACAACCCAATCCAACTATCCACTGAAACCACCCCCACATTGTCAAATTAAGGGGTCCACTCTGAGATCCAAATCTAGCCTAGGGACCAGAGACCCCTGGGGCATCTGAACTCTGGTAGAATAACTCAGAGGAGCTAGGGGAGAGAGAGGTTGTTAAAGACCTCAATACATAACAGAAAACCTATGATTCCATAAGTTTGGGAGTATCTAAGCCACTGCAGAGCTTAATCTACTTGAATGGCACAAGGAAGCCCTTGTAGTGATATGCTTACTTCAAACCATTTCAGACGTACTTTCCACTTACAGATAGTAGGGGGAAATTAGGACCATGTTCTCTATTTCTTTCTAATTTCCTTAGAAAAGTCTCTGCAAAGTGTAGAAATGCTGTAATGGAATGTTGACTGGGTATATAAAATAAACACATCCTAAGGGCTCCAACTGAAAGAAATCCTAGTAAGAATCAAAAAATGAGTTTTAAAGAAATGTGTCGCACTTTGCTTCTCTTCTGTAATCCTTTGTTTTTCATTCTTATGAAAGTCTAATTCTATGAAGAGAAATTACAGTGTTTCCACAGCAGATGTTTACATAATAAATCAAAGAAGGAGTTGGGGATACTTGGGAAGGGAAGTGAAAATCTTTGTAAGCAAGGCAGCATTTATTGACCATTAGTGACTTCTCGAAACTATTCATAAGGCTTCCACAGGTATTTGGAGTGGTCTGCCAGGCCTTATCCCTGCTCAGGAAGAGATCTCTGCCCACAGATGAAATGTTCTCTCAATTTCTCAGGTAAGAGTGAAATGTTGTCACTCATTAGATGTGTTTCCATTCCCTCCAGATACAGTTCTTTGAACTTAGACCCCTCTTTATTTTCACCAAAGAATCCTAAGATGCTTTACTTTAGTGGCAATTTGAGGAAGAAACCTAGCTAGGCCTTTGGTTTTCTAGCTGATACTGTCACATCTTCAGAGCAGCTTTGAAAGGGGTCTTCTTCTATCTAAATTGAGAGATGACCTGGCACAGAGAGGAATGCTCTTCTAATCTATTTAAACACGTAATACAGAAGGGAGCAAGTGTTAAGCAAATGAGGGCTGCTCTTTGTGAGGCAAATTGTTCCAGCTGTGCAACAGAATAGCCTCCACGTGAAAGGCTCTGGACCCAGCAACGGTCCTTTGAAAATGAAATGTCTTCTGCAGACCACATAGGATGGATACACTGGATTCTGCTTCAGCAATACTGAGCCTAGCAGGACTGGGGCCCTGCCAGGAGGAAGGCCTAACTGGGGGGCAACTGAAGGAACACATTTAAAGTCAGTCTCTCCTTTACCTTCAAGGTATAAGTACAGCTCCAGTAATTCACAGGATTGTTCTCAAAAAGCCTACAAGTTACATAAAAGGAAAAGTTTGAGGGGGAAAGATCTCCAAAGGTGAGCAAGGAAGAAAAAATAAATTCAGATAGTAGAAGAGCTGCCAATTCAGTAAGTTGAGCCTTTCCAAATCTAACCATATTTCTCAGTAGCATCCAATATTGAAAATGCTGCCACCCCAGAAACTTTTACATTTTCTTCCCAATGAGGTATTAAGGAAGATTAACATCCCCTCACAGGCTTAGGGTCAAGGGAGAAAAAAGAAGCTTGTAACAGAGACAAAGTTGGAAGCAAATAAAAATTTTCATGAAAATTGAAATATGAGGCCGGGCGCAGTGGCTCACGCCTGTAATCCCAGCACTTTGGGAGGCCGAGGCGGGCAGATCACGAGGTCAGGAGATCGAGACCATCCCGGCTAAAACGGTGAAACCCCGTCTCTACTAAAAATACAAAAAATTAGCCGGGCGTAGTGGCGGGCGCCTGTGGTCCCAGCTACTTGGGAGGCTGAGGCAGGAGAATGGCGTGAACCCGGGAGGAGGAGCTTGCAGTGAGCCGAGATCCCGCCACTGCACTCCAGCCTGGGCGACAGAGCGAGACTCCGTCTCAAAAAAAAAAAAAAAAAAAAAAAGAAAAAAAAAAAAAAAAAAGAAATATGAACTGATAGTATATTTAAACTTGCCATCCATTTATTGGTCTGTTTTATAAAAATATGCTAAAAATAGCTTTAAAGAAGCTCCTGAATCTCAAAGAATGAGATTTTATATAAAATCCAAAGGAGCTTTAGAAAGTCTTAAGGTTTGTCTAAGATGATGAAATGCGACTAGATGAGTTTGGAGAGGTGACAAGTTCAAATGTTAAAGCAATAATGAGCTTGAGAGGATGCCAGGAGATAAAAGAGATGCTTTGGCACTTTGGGGAGAAAAAAAGCTACTCTTTTTCTCGGTACATAATATGTAGCATCTTTTTATATAGTTTACAAAGGAAAAAGTTCTTCATTTCCCGGAGTAAAAGCTTGATATAAAGCCTTGTTGGCTGTCTCTTTGAAAAGCAACGATTATAGCTACTGTAATTAAAATAATTATAAGAGAAATGGGTACAAATTCTTAGCCATGATGTAACTTTAAAATGCCATTTTCAGGAAAAATCGAAGAAATTAGGCATTCATACACACATATTTAGACCATTTAGACAAACAACTTTTATTTTGCAAGAGTTAGTATTCATGCAGCAAGATGTTAAGGTTTGAACAGTGCCACCCATACATTTATTTCTTCATGACAGATCAAACTTGAAAGAATTAAAACTCTAATCCAGCTCAGTGTCTGGCTTATTTTTTTTTTATGAGAATGAGTCATTCAGAACTCCACTAAATGTCTGCAGTGAGAGAACTCCTGGAGAGCTGGGCAGAGTGTGGGAAAGCTGTCATAGCTACTTTTGCTGTCAAGTTAACAATGCTGTATCAGTGCAACTAAAATGGTCAACTAGCCTTTCACACTGACAAATAGTAGCTCCTGAGAATAAATAAGCTTTCTTCCCATCTACAGAGTAAAACTATGTGTCATCATTGGACTCATAATTTCTTTTATACATATTACAGAGAACCTGGGAAAAGAAAAGAGCCCAGGCCATTTTTATTAATTGTTCAGGTAACTTGGTAGTCCTTGCCTCACTAAATTTCTTTGCTAGGTTAGAACTTTGTTTATCTTTTATTTGTGTAGAAAGCATTTTCTAGTGAGGATGCATTTCTGGTGAAGTGGCTATGTGAGGTTTACCCTGGAATAAACTGATTGCAAGAACCCTGGCAGATCATCTGAGACTGATCCAGGCTCTCTATTCTCTGCACCCTTTCTTTCCTTCTTAGCCTCCTCCTTTGTGGATGAGGCCCTTTGGGGCATAATTACATCAAAGTTGTGCTATGAGGTTGATCATTCTTAGCACCAGAGAGGCTGGTTTTATAGAACAAACATTCCACTCCAAAGAAGCTGAAAAATTTAAGCCAAATCCCATGGAGGGCTGTGAGGTGCCACCAGCTCTGATTCCTCATTGCCCCAGGGTGGACCAAGGAGCAGTGGTTTCCTCAGTTTTGACCACACGGGAAGTTGGAAGGGTAGAAAAGAAGGAGGAAGACCAAGGGAGAAAGGTCCTAAGGCTGACTCAGGTTAAAAGAGCCCAGTGAGGGCCGGGCGTGGTGGCTCACGCCTGTAATCCCAGCACTTCGGGAGGAGGAGGTGGGCGGATCATGAGGTCAAGAGATCGAGACCATCCTGGCCAACATGGTGAAACCCCGTCTCTACTAAAAATACAAAAATTACTGGGGTATGGTGGTGCATGCCTACCAGCTACTTGGGAGGCTGAGGCAGGAGAATTGCTTGAACCTGGGAGGCGGAGTTTGCAGTGAGCCCAGATAACACACCACTGCACTCCAGCCTGGTGACAGAGCGAGACTCCCTCTCAAAAGACAAGCAAACCACCCCCCCACAAAAAAAAAAGAACCCAGTGAGAATAGTAAAAACAAAACAAAAAAGTTGCGCATCACATCCTGGACTCTGTCTGCAGTGAACTACTAGTAAGACTATTTTTTTTTCTGGCAATGGACTATAAGTGCATGCTTCCGTAGAAATTACAGGGCATTTTAGAGGGTTACATGCAGAAGGTGAAATAAACTCCTAACTGTTCAGAAAATAAACGCTCCTGTTGTACACATGGCTGTGTATTCTTACTTCGTTGCAATGTGGACTTTTGAGAATTATTTAAATGAACAGTAACAGCAAGACGGCTTTAAATTCTTCTTGCCTCTAAAGAAGACTGGGCCCCCGAGTGTCCCTTTATTAAAAATAAACTTAAATGGATAAGCTAGTATGGTGGAAGTAGTGGTCAAAGTTAGAAAGCCAAACAAACAATGTCAGCTATAAGATGCTGATTTTCGGCCACGCGGGGTGGCTTACGCCTATAATCCCAGCACTTTGGGAGGCCAACGTGGGCAGATCATGAGGTCAGGAGATCTAGACCATCCTGGCTAACACGGTGAAACGCCGTCTCTACTAAAAAAAAAAAATACAAAAAATTAGCCGGGCGTGGTGGCGGGCGCCTGTAGTCCCGGCTACTAGGGAGGCTGAGGGAGGAGAATGGCGTGAACCCGGGAGATGGAGCTTGCAGTGAGCCGAGATGGCGCCACTGCACTCCAGCCTGGGCGACAGAGTGAGACTCCATCTCAAAAAAAAAAAAAAAAAAAATGCTGATTTTCATGTTTCCTGTGTATAGTAGGAGATACTGTGTATAGATAGGAGCTCTTTATGCAGTGTTTATGTGACTTGTGATTGCCTTTACGCAGACTGCACTATGACTGCATTTTGTATCATGCTGTGTTAGCAGCTCCTACAGCATGATCTGTAAAATCAGGAGAGAGTGAGTCCCGCTGAACTCTAATTATTGTAATTATTACAATCATATGCAAAGAATGGGAAAAACGACACATAGTAATTATCTTTTTATTTGATCCTCAAACAAGCATAGATATTTCCTTTACCCCACTAAGTGGCCAGGCATGTTAGGAACTTAAGGAGGAACATTATTCTTTCATCCCTCTGATTTTAGCACAGTCTTCGTGAGTGAAACCAAAATGAAAGCAACTTTCAGACCCAGAGGCTGTTACAGCTCAGCTGAACAGGCTGCTCCGATAGGTTACAATAATGGCATTTTACACTCTGCCTCTATTGGAAATATGATATCGTCAATAGCTTGTGGATATCTTTTCCCTCCAGGCTTTGAGTAAAAGGTCACTTCCTGAGAGAGGCTTCCTGATCTAAGTAAGTCTTCCAAATACACATGTCTTCTTCATTATTGTCTCTCACTGCATCCTATTTTAATCATACTTATAATATATTATAATCAGAATTTTATTTTTCCATGTATATAGCAGCAAATGCAACAGCCTGGCATGTGGCAGGTAGTTGAAAGAGGGAATATTACCAATGGTGGCTCCATGAGGCTCTCTGTATCAGGCAGAGAAATCCTCAGTGCATGGGTGTGAACGACAAAGAGCACCTCCCCACGTACCTGAAGCACCTTCCTGCCCTTTGTCATCTCCAGAAGAATTGCGCCTGAAACTGCCATGTGGGACAACCTCAGTACCTAGGAGAAAGTTTTTTAAAACCCAGATGTCAATATTCTGCCCAGAACTTAGGAATTGAATAACTCAACAAGCAGCTCTACTGAGCAAAGTGTATAAGCAGACAGCTCACGACAGAGAAAATAAAATTAATAAATGAATGCAAAAATATATACAACATCAAGAGACATTAAATAAAAGCATGTTAGATTCTCTATTTTCACCTTCTAAAAATACATATTTTAAACATAACCACTAATGCTAATGAGTTTGAGTTTGAAGTGAAACAGGTATACTCATCCACTGAAAACTGTCCCTACCCTTTTGGAAATGACAACATGGAGGAAGAGTGATGATGATGTTAATACTCTTTGGCCCAATCCTTCAAATTTACACTAAGGAGATAATGCAAAGGAAATTAAAAAGTTAATATGCACAAAACATTATTTCAGTATTTTGTGGGTCATTGTAAACATATGGAAAACATGTAAATGTCCAAAGAATGGCTGTGGTACAAAAAAGTGATTTTTTAAAAAGTTAGCAGACATTAAAGATTGATCAAATGAAATGAGTGCTAGGGAAAAGAGTCTATGTAGAAACAGAATACAAAATAATATGTCTATCATACATTCATTCAATCAATAGTAAGCACCTATTGTATACCAGACAGTATTCTAAGAGCTGAGAATGTATCAGCAAACAAAACAAATTCCCTTCCCTCATTGAACTTTTACTCCAGCTAATAAAGATAGACAATAAACCAATAAGGAATAAAGTTGCTTATGATTTCCATCAAAGACAATAGCTCGTTACATTCAACCTCCCAGATATATGTCCATAAGTAAGTAAAGTAAAATAATTTTATTTTTAAAATTCTAGCATTTGTGTTCCAAAGTAAATGTGTCTAGGTTACCAATAAAATGAAAAATGCTAAATGTATCTATTGCAGAGGACACAAACCCAGGAAAATTCTGCTTCTCAAAAAAGATAACAGGAATGAAATTAATTCCAGAGGCAAGCATACCTGACTTCATCAGTGGAGTTTAATCTACCTTTTCTCTTGCTATCTTGGTTGAAATTTTACCTGGTTTAAATAAAACTATATTTTTACAGAGCTCAAATCCTTGGAAACTATATATAAAGTAGATCTCTTTCAGTACCCTGTTTGTTACTCTCCTAGTACTTACCATAATTGGCAATCATTTTATTTATTTGGCATGCTTAGTTGCTTTCGGTCTGTCTTCCTCTCTGGAAGGTCAGCCCCAAGGTGGCCATGGCCTGTGATATAGTTTGGATATTTGTTCCCTCCAAATCTCAAGTTGAAATTTGATCCCCAGTGTTGGAGATAGGGCCTAGTGGGAGGTTTTTGGGTCATGGAGGCGGATCCCTCATGAACAGCATGGTGATGTCCTCTTGGTAATGAGTAAGTGCTCACTCTACTAGTTTTCCCATGAGCTTATTAGGAAGCTCCTCTCTCTCTGTCTCTCTCTCCTTCTCTTCCTGCTCTCTCCATGTGGTGGTTCCCCTTTGCCTTCTGCCATGAGTGGAAGCAGCCTAAGGCGCTCACCAGAAGCAGATGCTGGCACCAAGTTTCTTGTACAGTCTGCAGAACCATGAGCCAAATAAACCTCTTTTCCTTGTAGATTACCCAGCCTCAGTTATTCCTTTTTGGACTCTCTTTCTCTTACATCCCACCTCTGATCTGGGTTCTGCCTACAAAATACTTCCAGAATTCAGTCACTTCACACTACATCCTTTTTGGAAGACAATTCTCCATGGGTATTTCATGTTTATTTCTACCCAACTTTCAAGTGGAGGCGCTGATAAATTTTGTGCTGACCTATCTTTTCAAGGAGGCTGTATAGCAAATAGCCTTGGAAGATAGTGATTGATAGTGTTACCCTCTGGAGAAGTGGTCGTTTGTTTGCCCTCCAGTATAATAAAGATAATGTCACCTCATAAAAAAGATCACAGGTTAGGCGAGTTTACTTGTAGTCCATTATAAAAGATTGGGGTTTCCTAAGCTTGGGGCCCCTCTGTTGTGACACAAACTCACTGTATGCACAACATTCACCCAGGCCACTCTGCATCCCCTCATTGAGACTTGAGAGACAAGGAGAAAGAGATAATCATGAAGCTCTGCTGACTGCTAAGTCATGAGAAGTAAAGTCCTTTGTAATCCAGAAGTCTCATGTGTCTTTTACCAGCATTCATGAAACTGTTCCAGGCTAACTTGCTAACTTGCAAGTAGTGGGGTAAAACTCAGGTCCTGACCGTTTTTTCTTTTTCTTTTTCTTTTCTTTTTTTCTTTGTTGTTGTTGTTGTTCTTCTAAGATAGGGTCTGTCTCTGTTGCCCAGACTGGAATGGAGTGGCACGATCTCAGCTAACTGCAACCTCTGCCTCCCAGGCTCAAGCTATCCTCCTGCCTCAGCCTCCCAGAGTAGCTGGGACAACAGGCACTTACCACACCCAGCTAAGTCCCCACAGTTTTTGACAGTCCTCTACTCCACCTCTGCCACAATCAACCATCATCTGTCACTACTAAGTCTCCTAAAGGGTCTCCTGCTTCCATCTTGGTGGAAAATCCCCTACGGAAAATCCCCTACAGGATTTTCTGCACATTGCAGCCAGGATCCATTGAAAACCAAATCAGTTATAGCAACTCCTCTGCTTAAAACCCTCCAGTGACCTCTGTCTTTACAATGCTTTACAATGCCCAAAGTGCCTGACTCCTTGCTATTTTCCTTTATCTCATTTTGCTCCACTCTCCCTACTGCCCCATCAGCTCTAACCATGCTGTTCTTACTCTTCCTCTAGGTGTGCCCCCATCTCAAGGCCTTTACTCTTACTGCTCTCTCTGCCGGAAATGACCTCTCTCAGAGTTAGATCATTTCCTCACCGCTATTAGGCCTCTACTGAAACACTGCTTTCTTAGCAAGGTTTTCCCGATCACCCTATTTAGAATTGCAATCCCCCCTTCCTACCGTGCATGCTTGTCCCCTTTCTCTGCTTTATTTGTCTATGTAGCACTTTTTAGCTTCTAATATATCATTTGACATTTCTTTTTGATTATGTCGCCTTGCACTGGAATGTAAGCTCCACGAAGGCAAAGACTTTGCTTTGTCCATTTCAGTATCTCTTACCTAGAACAATTTCCTAATCTATAACAACTTATTAAGTCAGTGCTTAATAAATTGTTGTTAAAAGATTGAATATAGACTTCTAAATCAAGCTAGGCTCAATATCTTATTAATTATGCCACTTTGGACAAGTTGCATAGCCTCTCTGAGACCTAGTTTCCTGATGGTAAGAAGAGAATTATCTTCCTCATATGATTGTTGAGTGGATTAGATGGACACATGAAAAGCACCTACTAAGCATTTAATGAAGTTAATTATATTTCATCTTAATAAAATCCAGATGAAATTTATTTTAATTACACACTAGTAATTAATTTGCATCAATTATATACCAGTGATTTTGGTATTGCCAGGGAAAACCTGATGTATTATGTATCACTAAGCATATCTTTTCAGCTTTTTATCCTCAGTACACAGCCCAGCTTCTAGCAAACACTAGTCACTCAATAAGTGTTTGTTGGTTTGTTTTGTCTCTTCTCATCCTAAAATCCCCTATAGGATTTTAGGGGAAAATTGAAAAATGTAGAGAAAAACTAAGTCACCTATAGTCCTTTTATGATCATGATTATTATTTTACTGTATTTTCTTCTGGATTTTTTCCTATGACTATTTTTAAACAGTAATTGTAGTATACATATATTTTTATATCTTGCTTTTTTCCACTTACTTTTTTGACACAAACATTTTTCTATACAGCTATGTTGTCTTTCCAACCATTAGTTTCTGATAGTTGTGTCATTTTGTCAAGTAGATGTATCATAGTTTACTTGACCATTTTCTCATTATTGGATATTTAAGTAATTTACTGTTCATTTTAATATATTTTAAATGACTTTTAAAAAGAGAGAGGAAAGAACCACCCACCTGCTTCTAAACTACAGCATGTCTGACCCTTTTTGGGGAAGAGAAACTGAATTCCTCTACTCTTCATTTGCAAGAGACACTTCTGAATAATTCATGAGTACACAAAGATGAAAAAGATATATATCATCTAGCTGATTATTAACATAATACAGCCAAATGAAACATTATCCTAAAAAGTCACTTAATTGCAGCTGTGGAAATGAGACTTTGAACATTTTAGAAAGAAATCATATTTGAGACGTAAATAAATACACTTCAAAATTATTTTAAGACATTGCCTAGTGAAAATTCTTCCCTGTAAATGGTGGTTATTGGGTTTTTTTCCCCACAAAAATGGAAAATCAGTCCTTCCAATTAGCTAAGTTAGCGAACAATCTAAAGAATAATGTAGTAAATTTCAAAAATATCTGTAAATAAAATGTAACGAAATTACCTACCTTTTTGTATATAAATGTTAGTAGGGCCTTTTTTTGTTTGTTGTGTTTTATTTTTTAATTAGGTCATATGGAAAGTAACTCAGATGGTAATATGAAAACTATGTGCTAATTACTTCAATCGCTTGTAATTTTTTAATTATATAATTCCTAAAAGAAAATTATATTTCTCATATGAAAAATGAAAACATAAACAGAGAAAAAGATAAGTATAATGACATTTGTTTTACACAGGGCCAACGAAAGTAAAAAGAAATGGAAGGTCGGAGGACTACTCACAGACTCTTTGTAGGTTTCTGAATGCACATAAGATTCAAAAACTCAGAAGATACATGAGTTCCATTTTTTTTTTAACCTACAGTCCTCCATCCTGAGCCCCCGTGTCCCGATCGATCTCTGTCAGCTGCGTTCTAGGCCTGATTGTGTAGTTGCATCCTGAATATCCTTTTGCAGGTCTCCCGTGTTCTAATCCCTGTTTCCTGAATTCAGTGTCCTTATGATTCTTGGTTTATCCCCTTATTTTGGTTAAAGTATATCTTCTACTTGCTTCCTAAGAAGGCAAATGTTTTGAGGACTTCCATAGTTGATAAATACGTTTTTTTTTTTTTTTAGACAAGGTCTTACTCTGTCACCCAGGCTGGAGTGCAGTGGCACCATCCTGGCTCACTGCAACTTTGACTTCCCGGATTAAAGCGATCCTCACGCCTCACCCTATGAGTAGCTGGGACCACAGGCGCATGCCACCACGCTCAGCTAATTTTTTAAAATTTTGTGGAGACAGAATCTTCCTATGTTGCCCAGGCTGGTCCCAAACTCCTCGGCTCAAGCAATCTTCCAGCCTTGGTCTCCCAAAGTTCTGGGATCACAGGTGTGAGCTACCACACCTGGCCAGGGAAAAATCTTTATTCTACCCTTTATGCTACTTGTCAACAGTTTAGTTGGGTGTATACTCTTACAATTTTGAAGACATTGCTCCAATATTTTTCGGCATCACTTTTTGGAGTTGCGAAATTCCTGCCACTTAGACTTACAGGTGAAGGTAGAGGGTCTGGGGGAATACAACTGGCTGTCAGATTTCTGAGATCAGACTGTAAAGGGAAGTTGGTACTGAGAGTTCCATTGTTCAACTTCAAGCCTCCTCCAGTTCAAATCCTCTAGAGGAAAGTCAGTTGTTCCTGAAAGACAAGAGGATAGGATTGTTGCCTGGTGGAGATGAGGGGATTTGGAAAGTCCACCCACTTATGTTCCTTCTCCTTTTATCTCTACTTATACTTCTCCCCAAACTTCTGCAATACCTGGTTCTTCCAAGAGCTGAGCCTCCAGAGGTTGCCCAGGGCAAATTAGCATACTTCTAGTCTCATCAGATCCAACTTCTCATCTTTTTTCTGTCTTTTAAAAATTTTCATTCACTCCTATCTCTTATCTGTGCTCTATGTCCTTGTGAAATAATAACTTTAACAATAACAAACAAAGACATTGTCTTTTTCTTAAAAGTGCTGAAGAGAAACAGCCTCTTTATTCTTCAGATGATGGCCTCTCAGAGCCTCCTTGACTCCGGGCTCCTCTGGTCCACTGTTCTAGTTCCCCCTTTAAGCTCTTGGAGTGCTGTGAACAGATCTCTAGTAGCTATTTTCTGTTCTTTGCTGATGTCTTCTTCTAAAAATACTACATTACACTCTGTATCACACAGTTGAGCACTTGATCACATCCCATCTTGATTCACCTTCTATTTCATGCATATTAACTGTAAGCATCTCACTGCAAGAACAAAGACTAATATTTCTTATGCAGGCCTACAATGCCTAAAGTAGGCTATCTCTGTTATTAGTGTGCTTACAGATCACTTACAGAACTTGTTTAAAATGAAGATTCCCAGACTTCAGCTCTAAGAAATTGAGTATGACTGTGGCAAGGTGCCAGAGACTGGATATCTAACAGGCACAACCATATGATTCTGACACAGGTAGCCTTGGTCTATATACCTTGAGACATATTGTCTAAGGGCAGTCCTGAGCACTTGTTTAATAAACAGATGAGTTATTGCATTGGTTCATTTGTTGTTTTCCCCCATTTTATCTTACAAGGTTGAAAATCTGGTTTCCTTTAATATACCATCATAAATCTGACATCCATGAATTTATCTGAGTCTTTTATTAGACTTATATTTTTTCAAATTTAATAAGAATTTAGGATTGCAAATTTAATAAGTTTACAGTCAGCTGTATATAGTTCTAATTTTGTTGCCCTTGATTTATTTCTTACAGGATTCACAAGGATTTTATTTGTAAAATTTTTTGATTTGGCAAATGTATTAGTCAGCTTGAACTGCCATTAATACCATAGACTGGGTGGTTTAAACAACAGAAATTTATTCTGTTCAGTGGAGTCTGGGAAGTCTAAGATCAGGACACTAGCATAGTCAAATGCTGGTGAGGGCTCTTTTCCTGGGTGTGCCTGCGTGTTCTTTCCTAGGTATGTGCATGTAGAAAGACAGAGAGCAAGATCTCTCTCGCTCTTCCTCTTCTTAGAAGGCCACCAATCCTACTGAATTATGGCCCCACCCTTATGATCTCATTTAACCTTAATTACTGCCTACACATTCCATCTCCAAATATAGTCACATTGGGGTTAGGGCTTCAACGTATGAATTTCAGAGGGACACAATTCAGTCCACAGCAGCAAACTACCCACAATATTTAGGTACAGTTACAGCTACACATAAATATGGGAACCCAGGACTTCCATGTGGCAAGTGCTCAGTAAACATTTGTTTGACAAGTGAAATAGCCAACTTCTAGAAAAGATGCTACAGCTAAGGGAAAAAGAATATCTGGTGAAAGAATATTCGGTGTGCTCTGCTTTAAACAGAGTCAATGTATGAAATGGAGGAAATATGCATACCGATATATTTACTGTATAAAATAATTTACTAAGACTTCCTTTGGGCATAGGAAACATTAAAAATTCCATTTATGTGTATTTTCTTTCTGAAAAACCTCTATTAAGTAAATTGATATATGTGTATAAATAGGTAATAACTCAGATAAAGTTAGTAAAAGAAACAGTCAGACTGACAGTCTGAAGTGGTTTATCCTCAAAGGTTTTATGAAGTGAGATTTTTGATAGGCTGGAGAAGAGAGAGGCAGAAATTCGAGCACTGGAAATTAAACACATCCACCACAGTTCACTGGCCAAAGTCAAGTCCCATGATCACATCTGACTTTCGGGGTGGAGGGAGTACAATTCTCCCTGGTATAAGAAGTGGACTGGTCTCACACCTGTAATCCCAGCACTTTGGGAGGCCGAGACAGGCGGATCATGAGGTCAGGAGATCGAGACCATCCTGGCTAACACGGTGAAACCCCATCTCTACTAAAAATACAAAAAATTAGCCGGGCATGTTGGTGGGCGCCTGTAGTCCCAGCTATTTGGGAGGCTGAGGCAGGAGAATGGCGTGAACCCAGGAGGCGGAGCTTGCAGTGAGCCGAGATCGCGCCACTGCACTCCAGCCTGGATGACAGAGCGAGACTCTGTCCCAAATAAAAAAAAAAAAAAAAAAAAAAAAAAAAAAAAAAAGAAGTGGACTGGTCAATGAATTGTAGTAAAGCCTGTCACAATGACTGTAGAGACGTTTTCAATGAAAAATCGACCCTATTCTCCAAGGTATTTGTTGAAACATTTTATTTTTACTTATTTGAGTGTTAGCAACAATGCTTGACTGCTGCATAGAAAATAAAAGCAAAAGATGGCTTAGAGTCCTACAGCTGCTGGTAGATGTGCAGCAATTTCTCTTCCACACCTCTCTTTGGCATCTGAGTGGATCTGAAGAGACAATTTTGGTCTTTGAGGTTTCAGAATTGATTGAAAGTGAAATAATTAGGGTTTCTTGCTTCGTTGGAAAAAGCCAGAACCTGAAAGGTGCCCCGAAGGGAGGAGTAGCATTTAAGTGCAGCATCCTCTAGAGAAGAAAGATGCTGGCGCTTACAAATCTGCTGAAAGCCCCTCTCAACAGTTTTCTTATCCTCCTTTACTTGGAGAGCTGAGCAGCGAGTTCAATGAACAGAGACAGAAATCTAATCCAGCTGTCTGGCATGCCACTTACAAGAAACAGACCCCCATCTTCCTCAGGACAGCATTCTCAGGGCTCACGAAGCAGGCAACCTTTCTTTTTTTGAAAGTGAAAGCTAAACCGTTCAATACTGCTTCAATAGACTCAGAATTTCATTGTAGTTGTCTCAGAAATGGTCCACAAGTACTACTAATTAACAAGTATGAAATTTATGATTCTATGCCACAGTCCCAGGAGATACTGGTCCAGTACCCAAATAACATAACTTCAAAATGAACAGCTTCATATTAGTGGGGATGGGGGTGAGTCACAGAATAAAAGGAAAGAAAAGTAACCTAAATGTGCCCATTTGTAACTGCTATGGGGTCTGAAGCCATTTTATTTAGCTTGACTGGGGGAAGGGCCTTGGCACTAATCTAAACAGAAGAGAATATTCATAAAGTAATTTGACCAGGGCGTGTAGCTATGGGCAGAATTTCACTGTATATGAGCAATTTGGAATCGTGTTGCAACATAGGCCTAGTGAGTATTTCACTATAGTAGAACTTTTCTAACTAATTTCTACTCAAGCAATCTACCAGGTTAAGCAACTGTCTACAGTTTTACTGTAAAATATCCCAACTGGATACTATAGCCACTAAAAACTGGCAACTGGTAGGCTAATCTCTTATAATCCATGTACTTCTTCATTACCCACCAGTTGAGTTGTATACTTGCCAAGAGTGAGCTGCTGTATTTGTCCCCAGACTTACTAATATCAGTTGTACTTGTTTTAATTATAATATTTAATTACATATGTAAACTGATGAAATGTAAATGTGAGAAGAAAGAGTTGCTTGTTCTCTAAAAACAGGCCTGAATGCCTTGGAAAGATTCAATAAAAGGAAATTGCAGGAGAGATAAAGGTAAAAGATTAAAGGGAAAAATAAAATAAATTTAGAAGAATTCTGTATTCATTGCTTTGCAGGTGACTTTATTTCATATTACAGTTACTGAAAATGGACATCTTTATAATTATAAAGTGATTTATGCAAGATAGACACAGAACTTCAATCCTTTACTCAAAGAGAAGCACTCGGTCCTACATTAAAAGACTGAAAATTAATGCATAGTAATAAGCTCTAAGTAAACACAAAATTTTTAAGCTAAGTGATCTGTTTGTTTTTCTTTCATTTTTTTCAATTTTTTATTAGAAAAAATATTCAAATCTACAGAAAAAATATACAGAGCTTCAGGACAATAAATGCCTGTATACCTTCACCATGTTTCATCAATTTTAATATTCTGCCACATTTTTAGTCTCTCTTAATACATATATACATGTATATACACATGCAGATATTTTAAGAACTATTTGAAGGCAAATTGAAGACACTGTAATACTTTACCCCTAAATATTCCAGCCAGCATCTCCTAAGAGTAAAGATATTCTCCTATATAACCACAATGCCATGACCATTTTTAGAAAATTGATAATTTAGTAACATCACCTAATATACTGTCTTTATATATCCCCAGAAGCCTCCAATATGTCTTTTATAGCATTTTCTCCACACTTAGAATCCAAATCAAGTTTCACCCATTGCATTTCCTTGTTATGTCTCTTTATCCTCTTTTAATTTAGAATAGCATTTTTACATTATCTGTTTTTTATGACATTGAGTTTTAAGAGTCTAGACCAGTTGTCTTACTGATCACTCTATATAATGGATTTGTCTGATTATTTCCTCATTATTAGATTCAGTTGAAACATCTTTTTTGTAAGAACACTGGATAAGTGATATGTACTTGCATCTGAAAAAAAGATTGAAATACTATCGTCATTGGTATCAGTACCTTTCCTCACAAAAGTAAATGTAATCACTTGCTGAAGATACATTTTTTTGTAATTAGCAGTTTATCTGTGAGAAGGTATTTCACTATCATGTGAATACTCTATTCTCCAACAACTTTGATCCAATAGTTATAGCTTCTATCAACAGTCTTTGCCAAGCTCAAGTGTTACATAGATAACTGCAAAAGAAAGATTTCCTAATTCTGCAATTCCTTCTACTTTTATTGGCTGACATATTTATGCTCCTACTGTCTCCAAATAAGAGCTTTCCCTCATATTTCCCTTTCTCTATTTCTCTTTCATTCTTTAAATATCTCATGAACTCAGAAATTTCTTTTATTCAATGTGCTATAATCTATTACTTTCATAATTTTTTGATGCTCAAATTGTCCCAGATTTTCACAGTGGAAGGCCATTGTATTCAGCTTCTGTGATTGTTCACATCTCCATTAGTCCCTGAACAGTTGTGTTATAGCACCAGACTTCTTTGTATTTTCACTGACATCAGTCGTTTTTTCCAAAGAAACTTGATTCCTTTACTAAGAAATGATATTTGGAAACTAAGATCTGGGTACTAGATGTGCCCATTACTACTTGTGTGTCTTGTTTCTAGTCTATAATAATTCCTTAATATTATCAAATATTCAGTCAATGTTCGAGTTTCTACAGGTGTTGAAATTCTACAAGCACTGCCTGACTCTTTCTCTCTGTCTTTTCCCCTCATCTTTTTTTGTGTGTTAAAACCAGGACCCAAATAAGGCCAGTACCTACAGGTGGTTGATATTTGTCCCCTCTTGTTTCTCCTTTACTTTTCTTACAGTGAATTTGTTCATGCAGTGACATTTATTCCCCTCTGGAGTATCCTACAGTACGGGTTTTGCTGATCACATCCCCAGTGGTGTGATTCAACATGTTCTTCTGTATCTAGTATGTCCTGTAAGTTGGTTGTTAGATCCAGAGGGTTTATTTTTTGGCAAGAATAGCTCATAAGGTATGTCACATATTTCCATCAGAAGGCAAATAATGCCTAGTTGATTCTTTGTATGGGATGTCAGCAACAATTGGTGATCACTGCCGAGATCCACTAACTTGTTAGGATTGCAAAATAGTGATATTCAAATTCCACCTTCTTCATTTATTCTTTGGAATACCCATAAGTAGACATTTTTCCTCACCAAATATTTGGTTACCCAGGGATATAGTTTGAAAGGAAAGATAAGAATATTTTTAGCTTGGTCGGGTGTAGTGGCTCATGCCTGTAATCCCAGCACTTTGGGGAGCCGAGGAGGGTGGATCACTTGAGGTCAGGAGTTCAAGACCAGCCTGGCCAGCATGCTGAAACCTGTCTCCACTAAAAATACAAAAATTAGCCAGGCATGGTGGCGCACGCCTATAATCCCAGCTATCTGGGAGGCTGAGACAGGAGAATCACTCGAACCTGGGAGGCAGAGGTTGCAGTGAGCCAAGATCACACCATCGCACTCCAGCCTGGGCAACATAGTGAGACTCCATCTCAAAAAAAAAAAAACGAAAAACAAAGAATATTCTTAGCTTTTTTTTTTTCCAGAACAATGAGTTGATTACCTAGAATTTTCCAAAAGTGACCAATAATTTCTTTGCTATCATTATAAACTCATGAATTTAAACCTATTTCATATGCTTCAATTTGCTGCTATTATTTTCCTAATTATGTTCAAAGTGTTCCAGATTTTGTCCAGGAAAAAAAACCTGCTCAAGATGATTCCTGCACCCTTTTGTCACAATCCCAGTTGTTTTTAATATTTAGCTTACTTTCTGGTAGGACAAGATGTTCCAGGCTTATCTTGTAAACTTTTTGCCCTAGATTCTAGAATCTGCCATTTACTCATCAAATTCTGGTTCCTTTTAATGAGAATGAAGATACAGAGACCACAATTAGGACAGTAGAGGTGTTCACTGCTGTGAGGTTATCATTGTTTTTCAGGTTATTTTAGGGAAAGGGCTACAACATACTTTTTACAAAGCAATAAAATAGAGCACGTGTTCATACTGATACTTCCAATTCAAATCCAAGACTGTAGAACTTTTCTTAAGCTCATCAATCTTATTACTTCTATCTGTATCTCTTTTATCCTATACCAAATGTCCCAGCTTGCAGCATCTCATTATCATATTATATCCTATTTACTTTATCCCACAATATATACTCCTCAGTTTGAGAACAGCACTTACATTACCATCGATAACATGATTACCAAAAACAGTTTAAGATTATTTTGTCCTTTTTGTTTTTTCAGTTGGTCCTTTAGATATAATCCACTAGGAATGTAAAGAAAGCTTTAATATAGTTAACCATAATTTAAACTTACTTAAAATAATTCCCCTCTCTGTGGGTATGCCACCAACTCAATACATTTAGATTCATTTGCTTTAGTTTGCTTCTGATTTTTAGGATCATTTTTATTTTGTTTTATAATTATATAAAATATTTACATTGTTACAAAGTCAAATCTAAAAGTCAAATTATGTTCAGGGAAATCTACCTCCTATCTCTGTCTCCTTCACACTATTTTCTCCCTCCTAAAGAATAATCAATATGTTTTATCATCAAATAAATGTATTATGTAACTATATATTATAAATGCAAACATAGATGTATTTCTTTTTTTTTCTTTTTTCTTTTTTTTTTTTGAGATGGAGTCTTGCACTGTCGCCTGGGCTGGAGTGCAATGGCATGATCTTGGCTAACTGCAACCTCTGCCTCCTGGGTTCATGCTATTCTCCTGTCTCAGCCTCCTGAACAGCTGGGATTACAGGTGCACACCACCACACCCAGCTAATTTTTTGTATTTTTAGTAGAGACAGGGTTTCACTATGTTGGCCAGACTGGTCTTGAACTCCTGACCTCATGATCTGCCCGCCTTGGCCTCCCAAAGTACTGGGATTACAGGCGTGAGCCACACCGCACCTGGCCCAAACATAGATGTATTTTTACCTCACCTGTCTTAGTTTGTTTTGTGTTACTGTAACAGAATACCATAGACTGAGTGATTTATAAAGAAAATAAAATTATTTCTTAACAGTTCTGGAGGCTGGGAAGTCCAAGGTTGAGGGACCCACATCTGGTGAAGGCCCTCTTACTGCGTCATCCCATGGAAGAAGGAAGAAGGGCAAGAGATCACATGTGCATGAGAAAGGAAGGGGGCCAAACTCATCCATTTATTAGGAACCCACTCTGTGATAACTAACCCACTCCCACAATAATGACATTAATTCATTCATGAGAGCAGAGCCCTCAGGACCTAATCACCTCTTAATAGTCCCAGCTCTTGACACTGCTGCATTGGGAATTAACCTTTCAATACATAGACTTTGTGAGACATACCAAAACCACAACGTCCACCCTTTAAAAGTGGTAACATACAATACATACTACTTTTCTCTACCTTTCTTTTCTTCATATATAATACATATACTAAAGATCCTCTATAGAAGATATACCTTATTCTCTTTACAAACTCATAATTTACTGTGCTGCTATAATGAAGGTTATTTAACAAGTGCATGCTCTACTGATGAATATTTGGAAAGCCCAATGTTTTGCTACTACACATAATACTAGAATAAAGAGTTTTTTTAGTTTTACCCTCTACTTGAATGTTCAATTTCTAATTTTACATGCTCCAAACCGAACTATGTTGATCTCTTCTCTAAATTCATTCCTCCTTTGTTTTCACCACCTCAATTAGTGTCACCATGAATCCAATTGCTCAGGCCAAAAACCTAGGAATCATGGCTGATTATCTTCTTTCTTATATACGCTGCATCTAAACTGAAATCTTTCTCCTGCTCAAAACCTTCCAAATGCCTCCCATCATACTTAGAATAAAAACCCAAATCTTTATATGACCTTAAGAATTATAATGTGACTTTTCATAACCTTTTTGATCTCATTTCCTCCATTGTTCCCTCTGTCTTAGTCTGTTCTGTGTTGCTATAAAAGAATACCTAAGACTGGGACACTTTATTTTATTATTTTATTTTATTATTATTATTATTTTTTGAGATGGAGTTTCGCTCTTGTTGCCCAGGCTGGAGTGCAATGGCACGATCTCAGCTCACCGCAACCTCCGCCTCAAGACTGGAAAATTTTTAAAGAGAAGTGGTTTATTTAGCTCATGGTTCTGCAGGCTGGGAAGTCTAAGGAGAGAGTTCTGGTTTCTGGTGAGGGCTTTTGTGGTGACAGCATAGTGGAAAAGGTCAAAAGGGAAGCAGACACATGTGAAGAGAGAAAACAAAAGGGATGCCCTGGCTTTATAACAACCCACTCTTGAAGCAACTAATCAATTCTCATAAGAACTAAGCTAGTCTTGCCAGAGTAAGAACTAACTATTGTAAGAATACCATGAAGCCATTCATGAGGGATCTACCCCTGTGACCTAAACACCTCTCACTAGGCCCCACCTCCCAATACCACGACATTAGGAATCAAATTTCAACATGAGTTTTGTCGGGGACAATCCATATCCAAACTATAGCACCTTTCTCACTGTAGCTTAGCAGCACTGGCTTCCTTGCTGTTCCTGGAAGATGCATGATGCCCACCACAGAATCTTTGCACTTGCTTCCCTGTGCCTAAAAGGCTCTTTATGCCAGATATTTTCCCAGATTACTCCCTCACTTCCTTGGGGCACTGCTCAAATATTCCCATACTGAGAGATCTTTCTTCATGGTGGAGCTAAGACAGCTCTTGTCGTTGCTCTATGGCTTTTGTGATTTTTTTTTTTTTTTTTTTTTTTTGAGACGGAGTCTCACTCTGTTGCCAGGCTGGAGTGCAGTGGCGCGATCTCGGCTCACTGGGTTCAAGCGATTCTCCTGCTTCAGCCTCCCGAGTAGCTGGGATTACAGGCACATGCCACCACACCCAGCTAATTTTTGTATTTTTAGTAGAGATGGGGTTTCACTATATTGGCCAGGATAGTCTCGATCTCCTGACCTCATGATCCGCCCACCTCCACCTCCCAAAGTGCTGGGATTACAGGTGTGAGCCACCACACCCAGCTCTATGGCTTTTTATCCCTGTCTGTTTTTAATAATAATACTTATCACTACTGACAATGCATTATTTATTTATTTATGTGTTTATTCATTTATGCCTTCACCACTATATTGTAAACCCCTAAAGGGTTGTCTATTGTGTTAAGTATCTAGACACTTAATTATTATCCCATGAATGAATGAATAAATGAATGAACATGATTGTCAGTGTCCAACTATTTTGAATTATCTGGCAATTTGAAGTCTTCATGTGATTTGACTTTGATTAGGAAGTAAGTTACATATTTAATAACTAATTTTAAAAGAGATGTAATTTTTAATGATTAGCTACGAATAATTATGAATCTGTGCAAACCAATTGTAAAGAAAAATAAAAGCTTTATTGTTGTGGTTTCTTAATTGGTTTACAAAACTTCAAGGTCAGACAAATTGTTCTTTGATTGTATTCCTTTGATTGTTTTGATTGTTTCCTTCCTCTGCAAAGACTGTCATAATACTCATGACAGTACTACGGCAATAATACTGTCTGTCACGGAAAGATTATTTAATTTATAAGAAAACATACACTAGCTTTCAAAACAGTAAAATCATTAAGTGATTCATCCAGTTTATTTACTGAGTGATTATTCAGTAAGTAAAGCTTAACAGATGGACAGAAGCTCATGGTTAATGTTTTTTCTTTATAACATCCTACCCTTAACACCAAAGAATTACATTCTGATTCAAGAAAGAAATGACAGGCAAATTAACACTGTATTTTTTATTTTAGATGAGGAATACCTTACCCTCAAATTTCTATCCAGAGGAGAGCTAAGAGAACTCTCTTTAAGAAGCAACACATGCACATCCACTTACTTGAACGAGTCAGAAAGCCAGGAGTCAGCTTGGACACGCCTCTTCCCCATTTCCTGCAGTCTCCTCCACCCAGTCAGTCAGAGTCCTAGCAGTTTTATTTACTAAATATGTCTCAAGGTCATCAGTTTATGCCATTAGACAGTCACTGCCTCAGTTCTCTTACTTGGATTAAAAAGTAGCTCCCTGAAAGGTCTTCTCACATTCACCCTTTTCCCTTCAGATCCATTCTCCAGTCTACAACAGAGTGATATTCCAATATGTAAATCCAGTAATACAGTGGTTTCTGTTACTCTTTGGCAGAAGATCCTGGTCCTTAATATGACCTAAAGTCACATGTGTTTGGTCTCCGACTAACTCCCCTACCTCATTTTGAATCATTCTTGCCTTAGCTCTTTCCACTGGAGCCACATCATCCTCCTGTTAGTTCCTTGAAAATGCAAACTCTTTCTTGCCTCTGAGCCCTGACACAAGAGGCTCTGATTTCAAGTCAAAGACTGCTTCACTGGGGAAGCTTCTCAGTCCCTCCAGAGTAAGAGAGGTCCTCCTGTTACAAATTCTCATAGTTCACGGAACTTTTCCATACTAATTCATGTCACAAGTACAGATTTAATTTGCTCATTTGTTTAATATTTCTCTTGTATATTAGTGTAAGCACCTTAAAGCAGAAAGCACAGTATTGATGCTCACCATTATATCCCAACACCTAACATAAAATCTAGTATATAGTAGGGAGTCAATAAATATTTATTGTATAATAACAGCATGAGATGAAACAGTCAAACACTGGCAATAGGGACTTAGGGTACATTTGAGAGCATTTTTAGAGCATCACTGAAAACTGGAATGGGGTCCCAGAAAAAAGTTGAAGAATTATCTCCTATGGAGACTCCTAAAAACAGGATATTTTATATATGACTAGAACTGTACTATCCAATATGGTAGCCATTAGCCGCATGCATGTGGCTATTGAGCTCTTAGAATATGGCTAGTCCTAATTGAGGTGTGCTGTAAGTACGAAAGAAATGGCATATTTCAGACTTGGCAAAAAAAAAAAAAGTAAAATTTCTCAATAATTTTTTACAAGATTATATATCGAAATAATGTTTTGGATATACTGGGGTCAACAAAATATATTGATAAAATTAATTTTATCTCTTTCTACCATTTTTAATGTAACTACTAAACATTTTTATGTGGCTTATGTTGTATTTCTACTAGAACTTAATGGTCTGTGGTATTTCAGGACCACTGTGGTTTGAATATTCGTGTTTCCTCCAAAATTCATGCCGGAACTAAATCCCCAATGCAACAGTGTTCACAGACGGGTCCTTTAGGAGGTGATGAGGCCATGAGGGCTCCATTTTAATGGATGGGCTCAGTGCCTTATAAAAGGTCTGGAGGGAATGAGCTAGGCTCTTTTTGCCCTTCCATCTTTTCAGCTATGTAAGGACATAGTGTTTGTCCCCTTGGGAGGATACAGTAACAAGTTGCCATCTTGGAATCAAAGAATGAGTCCTTACAGACACTGAATCTGCTGTCACCTTGATCTTTGGCTTCCCAACCACCAAAACTATGAGAACTAAATTTATGTTATTTATAAATTACGCAGTCTAAGGTATTTTAGCATAGCAATAGTCTTAGTCCATTCCATAGCTTATTCCATAGCAACAGGAATTCCTATTGCTTATTCCATAGCAATAGGAATGGACTAAAACAAGGACAATATTGCCTGAAGCTGGACATGACAGTGGGACACGTCAGTAACATGAGTTTGGATACTGCAAGAAGTTATGAAGAATCTTCTTCTGTTAGCAATGTGTTTCTGTTTTACCACCAGTCTCACTTGACTGTGCCTGTGCTACTTTACCACATATTCAAATATTTGCTCAATATATTGCCCTCCTTGGTCAAATAGCCTTTACAAACTGAATTTCAAAGCCCTTCTTCATGCTTTTATTTAATCAGTGTCCTGAAAGGTTGCATAAAGTTTGCAAAGTTTGGCCTTCTTACTTTACTGAATTCTAAAGGGTCAGTTTGTTGATAGAAGGCTTGGCATGAAGTTTGGCATGATGAATCATTTTTACTCAAAGAAACTGGAAACTAGACATTGAAAGTAGCAGTTGTGTCTAGAACTGTCAACACAGGTTTTTATGGATTCTCTTCATATTTCTGAAAGTTTCATCCCTTTTTGGAGCTTTCTTTTTACTCTTACAGCAGTTTGCTCTTTTTTTTTTTTTTTTTTTTCAAAATGAAAGCAAGTTTATTAAGAAAGTAAAGGAATAAAGAATGGCTACTCTATAGAGCAGCCCCAAGGGCTGCTGGATGCCCATTTTTATGGTTATTTCTTGATGATATGCTAAACAAGGGGTGGATTATTCATGCCTCCCCTTTTTAGACCATATAGGGTAACTTCCTGACGTTGCCATGGCATTTGTAAACTGTTATGGTGCTAGTGGGAGAGCAGCAGTGAGGACGACCAGAAGTCACTCTCGTGGCCATTTTGGTTTTGTTTGGTTTTGGCTGGCTCCTTTACTGCAACCTGTTTTATCAGCAAGGTCTTTATGACCCGTATTTTATGCTGACCTCCTAACTTATCCTGTGACTTAGAATGCCTTAACCATCTGGGAATGCAGCCCAGTAGGTTTCACCCTCATTTTACCCAGCTCCTGTTTAAGATAAAGTTGCTCTGGCTCACAGGCCTCTGACATTTCCCCCCTCCCTTTTATAAAAGAATCCTTAATCCTAAGGTTTGCAGAGGGACAAACATCTGTCTTCTGTAACTTCTTCAGGCTGAATAGGGGTAATAATATTTCTTCCTAACTATGAGGGTCTCTTGCATTCAGGGTAGAGAGGAGCTCAGTTGGAAAGCATCAGTATGGTAAGGTCCATTTATAAACTCTTGAGTTGCGACAGAAGGTGATATCTGGAAGATTAATAAGTGTATAATTTAAGAAAGCACTCAGTAAGCTTGTCCTGTATTCCTGCACAAACAGTATAACAGCAATATATTCCACAAGATTAAAGCAAAATAAGTGAAGTTATTCCAAGTAAACTAAATTAGAAGGCTTTTCATGAACTGGGCAACTGTTGGAACTAAGCTGATATGGGGTTGTTAGCTGATTGTAATGTGCCCGGAATTAGAATACCGATCCAGATTTTTACATTACCCATCCCTCTTGTTTCTTCTGAGGAACAGTCAAAAATCACTGGTTGGTTTACAGGAATAAGCAGGGTTAGCCTAAATTGCAGAAACAAACTTAAAAACAACTGATACTAGAATTCAATAACCAGTGTGCTATAATTCTTGAAACATAATATTTCTCTCTCCAGTTTCCCATTTTTACTAAAGACAAATCATGGTAAAGCTGAAGGCAGACAGATCCCCAAAATTAAGGGTGCCATTTTATACTGGTTCCTGGATCCCCAAAAGGAGGGAAATACTATGGGAGAAGACAGTGCAGTGCTTCTACTCTGCATTTCTTGCAAGGCAATCCAAAGCCAAGTTTCCCATAACTTTGGAACATAACACATTTATGCAAATATAGTCCAAAGAAAGCAAAACACTACTTCACATTCGATAATGCTTTCTGTATGATTTTTATACCAAATGAGCCAAATTTCTCCTTTATAATAATGTACTATTAACATTAAACTCAATTTTTAATAAAACCTTATAGATATATTTACCCAATTTTAATGTTTAACCATAACATAAGATTCTTATAAACCTTTTATAACCCTTTACATTTTTTTGTGAAAGAGCAGATCAGTGCTTTAAGAAAAACCTGTTGTGCTTCTATTTCAGTGTTTAATTTACAGAAAAACTGAATAATAGCCAATATGTTCACACATAGAATCTCTTAGAATTAATTTTTACAAATCTTTCACAACTTGTTTAAACCTTTAGATTTTTTTTCTTACTTAAAACAATCCTTTAACACTTTAATCTAGGCTGAAGAAATTCCACATTCCCATGCCTTCTTGTAATCTTTTTTTACCAAAAACTCATTTCACTTTTCTTATACATCTTGCATGTAAAACTGTTTCTTCAGTAGGCCGGGCCCGGTGGCTCATGCCTGTAATGCCAGCACTTTGGGAGGCCGAGGTGGGCAGATCACGAGGTCAGGAGATCGAGACCATCCTGGCTAACACAGTGAAACCCCGTCTCTACTAAAAACGCAAAAAATTAGCCGGGGATCGTGGTGGGTGCCTGTAACCCCAGCTATTCGAGAGGCTGAGGCAGGAGAGTCGCTTGAACCTGGGAGGCAGAGGTTACAGTGAGCTGAGATCCTGCCACTGCACTCCAGCCCGGGCGACAGTGAGAGACTCCAAGACTCCGTCTCAAATAAACAAACAAACAACAACAAAAAAAAAACACTGTTTCTTCAGTAGTCTTAATTACATGTTACAATGTTAACTTTTAGTGACTTTCATTTTTGGTGAAAACCCTGGTTAATAAGCTATTTTAATTGTGTACTAGGTGGGGAGTCTAGCCTAGGACACACCAGGCAGAAGTGCAGATAGGAGCTGACTGCTAACTCTCAGGCTAACTCCACATGTTCCCAGGCCCTATCTAGAATCTAATGGCTTTAAGGTAGGTAAATTAAACAGTTTTCAAAAGTCAAATAAACAGTTCAACCTTAAAGCATTTAGCAAATCTGATATCTGACGTTAATTTAGACCAAATGTCTACATTTTCAAGATAATTTTACTAATAATCTTTAAAACTATTTCCAAAAGATTACTAAAGTTACATGAACAAAAAGGCATTAAAGTTTCTATTTTTCTGACAAAATATTTGATTTAAGTGCTTATTTTTCTAAGCCAATTAATTAGAGCTCTTTTATATGTAAACATATAACACATATAAATACACAGACAGACAGATTCAGCACTTGTAAGATTTTTCGTTTGCCAGTTTCTTAATTGAATTACTGGCTTCAGGATGGAGCCCTTGGAGGAACAGGGCCAGAAAAGCATGCGTTCTTACGGCCAAATAAGCAGCAAATAAGCAGCTGAAGGCAGACAGATCCCCAAAATTAAGGGTGTCATTTTATACTGGTTCCTGGATCCCCAAAAGGAGGGAAATACTATGGAAGAAGATAGCGCAGTGCTTCTACTCTGCATTTCTTGCAAGGCAACCCAAAGCCAATCAGCCCATTTTGTCATCAGCCTATCCCTCAAGGGTGTCTCATCTCCCAGTGGGGGGTGGGGATGTTTCCTTATCTCCCAAGTGGCCAAGAGCATGCTTGTCTGAGCTGAGTGTACAAAGAGTCAAGTATCCCTCCATAACTACTATTAGCCATCCCTTAAAGTATATTTCCTACCTAGTTCTTACACACGAAAGCTCTCTCATAATGCAAAGTAATTTCTGATACCCCAAAACTCAAAACCGTTAGATAACACAATGCAAAACAGAACAGTGCCTTTGAGTTTTAGAGGGATCTATTTGCTTTTAATTCCTGGGGTTTCATGAGGGAAACAGAGGGTTTTTTTCCCCAAAACGGGGTCTGTGGCGCCTCCTCTGTTTCTCCCAAGGAGTCCCAGGCTACCCGAAGTTATCTTAGGGTCTCTCATGTGTGCTTGAAGAGTGGCAAGACAAAAAAAAAAAAAAATTGGAGAAAAAATAATTCAATTGACAGAGAAGAAACACCTTTTTCCAGAAAAAAAAAGTTCCAAGGAGACAAAAACATAACGGCCTTTAAAATATATGTATAGCTTGTTTATCCACTTTTAATTAAGCTGATTTTTAACCATGGTGCTCTTTAAAAAAGAAATCCTTCCAGATCTCTTATTACCCGACTTCGGCCATGCCAAGTGGCCAATATTTCTAGTTTCTGAACTTTGCCAAAGGTAACCTCCTAGGTGCTTAGAGAAACAAAAAATTAAGGCAGTCCATGGAGAAGAGAATAGACAAGGTCACACAGATATTAAACCAGAAATGACTTACTTCCTAGGTGGGGAATTGAACTCAGACCGCCACTGTGAAAGTGCAAAACATTAGCTACTAGGCAGCTAGTACTAGCAGCTACTGGGCAGAAGTAGCAAACAAATTCAAAAGCTAACAGGAGACATAACTACAGCACAGGGCAGTCTCCAGTTCCTTTCCCACGAGGAATCTAGAGTAGTGAATCCTGAGCTTGCAGAGGCTTTTAACTATGTGATAGGATTTTTAGAGCTAACTCTGACATGAACCCTAAAATTCCTGTTTCCTGAAGACAGAGACCAAAAGAAAGTACCACCACCTGGTTAAAAGGCCAAGCTCCCAAGGACATAAAACAACGTGGAGACTTCATTCAGTTTTTCGTTTGTTTCAGGGACCTGCAGCCAAGTTTGTTATGGACCAGCTTGCTGGGTGGTCTTGAAAAGTGGGCTTACAAGTGTTCTAAGCCAGTGTTTGCACCTAAAGTACCCCTTGACACAGAAAAACACATTCATAGCACAAAATACACCAGCTTAAGACTAGCCTTAGAATTCTTTTTCGCATTAATCAAAACTTTACAGAGGAGATAAACACTGATTATTTATTTATTTATTTATTTACCATCCATTCAACTGCACAGAGAGCAGCCAGAAATCTGACTGGTAAGAAATTCTTACCCTTTTGCCAGCATGCCAGGCTTCTGGTTTCCCTTTCCCTGAGCAACCCTAGTGATTCAGCTTGTGACACCATAGCCCTGGGGGCCAAGCCGCATTATAAAGGAGAATAATTTTTTTTTGCTCTGGCCAGAGCAAAATACATGTGATAAAACATAGACATTAGTCATTCTGCTTAGCACCCAATATCAGACTGGCAAGGCTTAAATTTGCCCCCAGAAGGGCCCTGTCATCTTTAATCCAACCTCTGGCTAGGAGTTTCAACACATGGTCTCTGGGCAAGTTGGTTGCCCTGAGTAATAGAAAAGATAACAAAGGGAAATAAAAAGTAGAGAAGAAAAGCATTGCCTGTTGGCAGGGTGGGGAAGGTGAAATGATCAGGGAGGCCAGGAGAAAGACCCACACATTGCGGCGACACTGAAAAGTTCAGGCAGCTGCAGCTGCTGTCGTAAAGGGATTTTTTTCCAGCAGTCTCATCACCTCTCAAGTTTCCTCTTTTAGGGAGGAAAAAACTCCTCATGTCCCACAATCCTGTCCATGCCTGTCACCCACAGCCATCAGCAAAGAGTACAAGGCAGATTAATCCAAAGAGAATAGCAGTTAGCACCCCATAGTGCAAAACCTGTTCTTAAAGGGACTTTACCAAGAGGTGCCTCTAACCCCCTAAATCGTAGAAGAGACTCTAACCCTCCTAAACTGGGCCTCTAACCGAGGTCCAACAAGTGTCCTTGCCTTTTATTAAGAGTGGCCTTGCGGGGGAGGGGCCAAGATGGCTGAATAGGAATTGCTCTGGTCTCTAGCTCCCAGGGAGACCAATGC